>NC_000012.12:31360113-31512809 GCF_000001405.40 Homo sapiens
AAACTCCTACAATTGATTTAAATTTTTTTTTTTTTTGAGACAGATTCTTGCTTTGTCGCCCAGGCTGGAGTGATCTCGGCTCACTGCAACCTCCACCTCCTGGATTCAAGCAATTCTCCTGCCTCAGCCTCCCAAGTAGCTGGAATTACAGGCACCCGCCACCACACTAATTTTTGTAGTTTTTAGTAGAGATGGGGTTTCACCATGTTGCCCAAGGCTGGTGTCCAACTCCTGACCTCAAGTGATCTACCCTCCTCGGCCTCCCAAAGTGCTGGGATTACAGGCGTGAGCCACCACGCCCAACCTTGAGTTAAATTTCTAAAAATCTCAACATAATGTGTTTGGCTCCTCTTCTTATTATGCTTAGAGTTAGGCACTAGCACATACTAGACCTAAACTTGACTGATTTGAAAAGACCACTGAAATCCATGATTTGCTGCGGATCCTCTGTGTCTGCTGTGGCCAATATAAAGAAACTTGGATGCACTTAATTTATGAAGACAAGCTTTGTTGATCTGGAAGTTGAATGATAAATGTGAATCCAATGACGCCATACCCCTGCGGATAATGGCAGGCTGGATGTAGCATGTTAGCCGTCATATTCTGTGTGCTCCCTGCGATGTGGGCACTTCCCTTCCATCGTGGTGAGGCCAAAGCAAAGGCACAGAGACCTGAACACAAACATGAAAAACACCTTACCACCTGGGAGTCAGGGGCAGGTTCAGGCACATCCATTCCTCTGGCATTTGAGCAGCTGTTTTCCACAGCATTAACTCAGCACGGCAGGGTAAGTCAGATTAAAAACCAATAAAAGAGTAGTATCCTCATACCACCCTCAACGTCTTCCTGCTTCACCAAAAAACCAATAAAAGACTGAATGTGGCCCTTTATCAGCTAGACCTCAAAATCTTCTTTGCTTTCTATGCGTATTTCCAATAAAAAAGTACAAGGGTTGTTAAAAGTCCTTATTTATTTATTTATTTATTTATTTATTTATTTATTTATTTTTAGAACCAGGGTCTCACTCTGTTGCCCAGGCTGGAGTTCAGTGGTGCAGTCATAGCTCAGTGCAGCCTCCAACTCCTGAGCTCAAGTGATCCTCCCACTTCAGCCTCCAGAGAAGTTGGGACTACAGGTGCATGCTACCACGCCAGGCTAATGCTTTTGGTTTTTTAAGAGTTTTGTTGAGTCAGGGTCTTGCTATGTTGCCCAGGCTGGTCTCAAATTCCTAGCTTCAAGCAGTCCTCCTCCCTCAGCCTCCCAAAGGGTTGGTATTACAGGCATGAACCACTGTGCCTGGCCTTAAAGTCCTTTTGAAACACAAGACAAGAAACATTTGGCCGCGCACAGTGGCTCATGCCTGTAATCCCAGCACTTTGGGAGGCCAAGGCAGGTAGATCATGAGGTCAGGAGTTCAAGACCAGCCTGGCCAAGATGGTGAAACCCCATCTCTACTAAAAATACAAAAAATTAGCTGGGCATGGTGGCACGTGACTGTAATCCCAACTACTCAGAAGGCTGAGGCAGAGAATTGCTTAAAACCCAGGAGGTGGAGGTTGCAGTGAGCCAAGATCTCGCCACTGCACTCCAGCCTGGGCAACAGAGCAAGACTCTGTCTCGAAAAAATTAAAAATAAAAATACAAAAATTAGCTGGGCATAGTGGCACGTGCCTGTCATCCCACCTACTCAGGAGGCTGGGGCAGGCGAATCGCTTGAACCCGGGAGGCGGAGGTTGCGGTGAGCCAAGATCGCGCCATTGCACGCCAGCCTGGGCAACAGAGCGAAACTCAGTCTCAAAAAAAAAAAAAAAGGAAACATTTATTGAACACCTAGTACATTCCATGCACTGTAGTGTGTGTGGTTTTATTTAATTTCATCTCTGCCCAACCCTGGGAAACGGTCTATTAGCAGACGCAGAGGATAAGGCACAGGACGATCAGGTAACACACCCAGGGCCAAATATCATAAATGGCAGAATTCAAATTAAAGCCACCTTCCAAGCCATGTCCCTCCCATCGTCACAATACTGCATGTCTACAGCACAGTTGATGGGCATAACCCTTCTTAGCAACAGCAAGCAGCTGAGCAGAAAGTAATTGCAGGAGGCAGAGCCAAGAGGAAAACTGCTGAGAGTGCTGACGGTAGGTGGAGAGAACAGAAGCACACACCGTAGGGTGCAATCTTAGTGAGCTTTGTTTTCCTTCAATAGAGGTGAGTTCAGACCCAGGCATGTCTCTCCAACATTCATTTCCCCTGCTTCGGCACCATAGACTTGAAGGATTGGACTCAGGAGTTGGGGAGGACACGGGGGAAGTTGCTTTCCTGGTGCTGAGGCCCCCGGCCACCGTGGTAGTGTACAGCAAGTACAGGGTAACAGAAGGGCCAGCAGGAGGACACGGCGCAATGGTGTACCGAGGGACAGGAGAGTGAATCAGAGCCACAGGACAGAGCTCCACCTGTTTCCAGGGAAGTGCATGGGGGGCTCCCGGAAGCCAAAGGCAGCGCCCAGAGGCAGTGTGAAGAGGCCTTCCTCAGACCTCAGGGTTTCGGCAGGGATAGTGGGTGACCTGTGTGCTGGCTCTCCAGAAACTGAAAGCAGCAAGAGACACTTGGGCTCCTTTTTTAGTTTTTCTGGTTTGTTTTGTTTTGTTTTTTTGCAGGCACTCGGTGGTTAGCTGGAAATAAAGGTGGAGGAACTGGGCAGTTCAAAGGCAGAGACGGCTTCCCCCACCCCCACCTCACCTCCCCTTTCATTCAGAAAAGCCACAAAAGCGTGGCCCCAGGGTGTGTGTGAAAGGAGGGAGGAGTGACTCCACCTAGCTCCTCTGGAGTAAAGAGAGGCTGTGGGCCTGGTGTCGTGCGTGCATGCCTGCATGTGCCTGTGTGTGTGCATGCTTGCCTGGTGCTCAAGGGTCAGGGGAAGCTGGCTGAGAAGACTGAGGAGATGGAGGGAGGTGGAGGGAAGTGTAATAGAAGGAGGTGGAGGAAGGTGGCTGCCATAGAGCTTTGGCTCTGGCTGGCCTGAGTCTCTTCCTGAAGTTGCAGCTGCACTTTGGGGCCAGGCGCTGTTGACACTGTGGGTATAAACATGTGGCCAGCAGCAGAATAGAGACTCAGAGTCTTGAGAAAGAAAGTGGTGACTTCCCACTCCTCCTTCCTTCTTTCCTGTACAGAGTCTGCCATCTGGGGGCAGAGATATGGGCAAGCCCTCATTATAATACTAGCAGTGAAGGGCTGGGCATGACAGGTGGAAACACCACTGACTCTAGAACTCAGAGCATGGAATTTGGTATGGTGGCAGGCAGGGGTCCAGAGGTAGTATTTGTTATCTATTGCTGTGTAACGAATTAGCTTAAGGTATAGCAGTTCAAGAGAAGAAATGTTTATTATCTCACAATTTCTTTGGGTCAGAAATACAGGTGTGGTTTAGCTGAATGCTTTCTGGCTGAAGGTGTTTCAGGACGTTACAGTCATGCCACCAGCTGGGGCTGCCAACTCATCTGAAGGCTCAACACAGGGGGACCGGAGTCCAAGCTCCCTCACATGGTCACCAGCAGGATTCAGTTCCTCGAAGGCTGTCATTTAGAGGCCTCCCTCCGTCCCTCCTTACAGGTCCTTCTCACAGGGCACTTCGTGACATGGCAGCTGACTTTCTGGGGACCATCCAAGTGAGAAAGAGCCCTTAGAAAGAAGTGACAGTCTTTATATAACCTAATCTCAGAAGTGACAACTCATCCCTTCTACAAGGTTCTATTATTCAAAATTGCATCTGTAAATCCAGCTCACTCAAGGGAAAGGGATTACTAGGAGATAGGGGTCACTGGGGGCCATTCTAGAGGCTCCCTGTCACAGCATCCAAGCTGAGACCTACAGAATGACAGGAGTTCACCAGGCAGGGAGGCAGGAGGGAGTTGGGGGACGGCAGGTGCAGTGAACCATGGTTGTAACTCAGTATGGCTGCACAGAGAGCACTGCCTGAGGGTGAGCAGTGCTGTGGAGAGGCCAGCAGGGCCCAGAACTTGTACCATCTTTTAACCCAGGTTTGTAAGGGTGGACTTTATCCTGCAAGCATGAAGATCCTAAAGCTTGAGGCTAACGGTTAAGATTTGGCTTTAGAAAGATTACACTGCTGGCCCAGCTCAGTGGCTCACGCCTGTAATCCCAGCATTTTGGGAGGCTGAGGTGGGCGGATCACCTGAGGTCAGGAGTTCGAGACCAGCCTGGCCAACATGGTGAAACCCTGGTTCTCCTAAAAATACAAAAAAATTAGCTGGGCATGGTGGTGGGTGCTTGTAATCCCAGCTATGCGGGAGGCTGAGGCAGGAGAATCGCCTGAACCCGGGAGGTGGAGGAGGTTGCAGTGAGCCAAGATGGCACCGCTGCACTCCAGCCTGGGTGACAGAGTGAGACTGTATCTGAAAGAAAGGAAAGGGAAAAAAAAGAAAGAAAAAAAAAAGAAAAGAAAAGAAGGAAGGTTATCACTGCTGTGGGGAGAATGGATTGAAGAGAGTAAAAGAGCAGAGGAAGGCCAGCTGGCGGGTGCGGCAGGTGGGGGGATTGAACTGAGGTGCTGGAGAGGCTGAATGGCTGGCAGCAGCGCTGCTGCAGAGCTGGCGTCCCTGGGTGTAGGAACTGACTGCTTATGTCCGTCTTCCTCCTCTGGAACATAAGCTCAATGAGGACAGGGATTCTTGTTTGTAGTCTCTGGTATCCCCAGCGTTTAGGACAGTGGCACTAGATGAATGACTAGGACACCCCAAGGTTTCTGGCTTGAGTAACTGGGTGGAGCTATTCTCTAAGCTGTGAGGCACAGAGGGCAAACATGGACAGAAACTTAATATTTGAGAAATACTGAGTTTGAGGTGCTTTGTAGGCCATCTGAGAATAAATGCCTCGTAGGCAGTTGACATGCGGGGATCTGGAAAGCCTCTTAAAGAAATGGTGAGAGATGGAGACTTGAAAATCCAAGCACCTAGACGCCCGTGATGGGAGTAGTTAACATGGCCCTGGGACCCTTTCCCAGAGTTTCTAGGACACCTTACGCAGCAACAGTGCTTGCTTTGAAAGATAGTAAAGGAAGAAAGTCTTGCCAATTGTCATTCACAAAAGAAAGTCAAAAATATGTTGCCAGAGAGGACAGGAGAAAGCCAGGAATCACGGGAAGCCAGAAGAGAGCTTCGAGTACTATGAGAACAGCACAGTAGGTTAGGTAAGGACTGAAAGGAGGCCGGTGAGTTGAAGCCCACTGTGGGTGGGGAGGAAGGAGAAAAGGAATGTTTTCCAGAAATGCAAAGCATTACTTAATATTTATTTTATTTTATTTTTTTGAGATGGAGTCTGGCTCTGTTGCCCAGGCTGGAGTGCAGTGGCACGATCTCTGCTCACTGCAACCTCTGCCTCCCGGGTTCAAGTGATTCTCCTGCCTCAGCCTCCAGAGTAGCTGGGATTACAGGCGCCCACCAACATGGCTGGCTAATTTTTGTATTTTTAGTAGAGATGGGGTTTCACCGTATTAGCCAGGCTGGTCTCGAACTCCTGACCTTGTGATCCACCTGCCTCAGCCTCCCAAAGTGCTGGGATTACAGGCGTGAGCCACCATACCCGGCCTATTTTATATTATATTTATTTTATTTTATATTTTTTGCTCTGTTGCTCAGGCCGAAGTGCAGTGGTACAATCATGGCTCACTACAGCCTCCACCTCCTGATTCTCAAGCAATCCTCCCACCCCAGCCTCCCAGAGTGCTGAGATTACAGGTGTGAGCCACCACACCTGGCCTCCATTACTTAAAAATGTTTTAAAGGCTGGACACAGTGGCTCACGCCTCTAATCCCAGCACTTTGGGAGGCTGAGGCAGGAGGATCACCTGCAGTCAGGAGTTTGAGAGCAGCCTGGCCAGCATGGTGAAACCCCGTCTCTACTAAAAAATACAAAAATTAGCTGGGCGTGGTGGTGGGTGCCTGTAAACCCAGCTACTTGGGAGGCTGAGTCTGGAGAATTGTTTGAACCTGGGAGGCAGAGGTTGCAATGAGTGGAGATCATGCCATTGCACTCCAGCCTGGGCAACAGAGTGAAACTCCGCCTCAAAAAAAAAAAAAATTAAAACTGTCACTTCCAAACACCATTAAAAAACAAAGTGCCTGATTCGGCCGTACATGTACTAAAATTGGAACACTGGAACGGTAACAGAGAAGATTAGCATGGCTCCTGCACAAAGATGACACGCAAATTCATCAAGCATTCCTTTTTTTTTTTTTTTTGGAGACAGTGTTTCACTCCTATCACCAAGGCTGGACTACAGTGGCGTGATCTCAGCTCACTGCAACCTCCACCTCCCGGGCTCAATGGATTCTTCTGCCTCAGCCTCTGGAGTAGCTGGGACTATAGGCATGCACCACTGTGCCCGGCTAATTTTTGTATTTTTGGTAGAGACGGGGTTTCACTATGTTACCCAGGCTGGTTTCAAACTACTGAGCTCAAGCGATCCACCCGCCTCAGTCTCCTAAAGTGCTGGGATTACAGGCGCGAGCCACTGTGCCCAGCCTCATACTTTTTATATTCATTTTGAAAAAAACCAAACATACAAAATATAGATAAGCATTTAGATCACAAGTTCCCCAAACTGGTCTTTGTAGCAGCAATTTAGGAATCACCTGGGTGGTTTTTAAAAATACATATTCTGCCGGGCACGGTGGCTCACTTTGGGAGGCCGAGGCGGGCGGATCATGAGGTCAGGAGATCGAGACCATCCTGGCCAACACGGTGAAACCCCATCTCTACTAAAAATACAAAAAAATTAGCCGGGCATGGTGGCGGGCGCCTGTAATCCCAGCTACTCGGGAGACTGAGGCAGGAGAATGTCATGAATCCAGGAGGCAGAGCTTGCAGTGAGCGGAGATCGAGCCACTGCACTCCAGCCTGGGCGACAAGTGAGACTCTGTCTCAAAAAAACAAAACAAAACAAAAAAAAACCAGATTCTGGGTTTGCCCCAATTCCATAAAATTAACCTCTCAAGGGTGAAGCAGGAGAAACTATTTTTTAATGTGCCAAGTGACTTTGAAGTGTGACAAGCTTTTTAAACATTTTATTTGGAGTTTTCTGCTTTTATTATTTTTAATTGACACATAATAATTGTATATATTTATGCGGTACCATGTGAGATTTTGATATAGGCATACAATGTGTAATGATCTAATCAGGGTAATTAACATATCCATCACCTCAAAGAGTTTTGACATCACTCATTTAAACCTCTAAGAAATACTTTTCAGCTGGGCGCAGTAGCTCACGCCTGTAACCCCAGCACTTTGGGAGGCCGAGGCGGGTGGATCACCTGAGGTCAGGAGTTCGAAACCAGCCTGACCAACATGGAGAAACCCCATCTCTACTAAAAATACAAAATTAGCCAGGCATGGTGGCACATGCCTGTAAGCCCAGCTACTCGAAAGGCTGAGGCAGGAGAATCACTTGAACCCGGGAGGCAGAGGTTGCGGTGAGCCGAGATTGCGCCATTGCACTCCAGCCTGGGCAACAAGAGCAAAACTCCTTGGCCGGGTGCGGTGGCTCACGCCTGTAATCCCAGCACTTTGGGAGACCGAGGCGGGCGGATCACCTGAGGTCAGGAGTTCGAGACCAGCCTGACCAACACGGTGAAACCCCATCTCTACTAAAAATACAAAATTAGCCGGTCATGGTGGCACATGCCTGTAATCCCAGCTACTTGGGAGGCTGAGGCAGGAAAATTGCTTGAACCCGGGAGGCGGAGGTTGCAGTGAGCTGAGATCGCACCACTGCACTCTAGCCTGGGTGACAGAGCGAGACTCCATCTCAAAAACAAAACAAAACAGAAAACAAGAGCAAAACTCCGTCTCAAAAAAAAAAAAAGAAATACTCATTTTTCTTTGACTTTAAGCCCTTTTAGAATAAATAAAGCGGTACAAAATATTCATAGATTACTAAACTGTTAGAAGCCAATTGTTAAATTTAAGACTTTAATAGGGAACTTAAAGCAATCAAGAAAATAAACTCTCCACAAAGTTTTAAAAAACAACTATAAAATACATCCTGTAGGCCGGGTACAGTGGCTCAATCCCAGCACTTTGGGAGACCGAGGCAGGCGGATCACCTGAGGTCAGGAGTTCGAGACCAGCTTGACCAATATGGAGAAATCCCTTCTCTACTAAAAATACAAAATTAGCCAGGTGTGGTGGCGCATGCCTGTAATCCCAGCTACTCGGGAAGCTGAGGCAGGAGAATCACTTGAACCCAGGAGATGGAGGTTGCGGTGAGCTGAGATTGTACCACTGCATTCCAGCCTGGGCAACAAGAGCGAAATTCTGTCTCAAAAAAAAAAAAAAAAAATCCTGTAGGTTTGTTATCAAGAAAATGCTGATGACTATAATTAGGATTATAAATTTAGTTGAGAGTGAGAGCTAGATTAGTAAATAAAATTGTCTATAAACATTTGTAAATCAGTCATCCTCCTGGGTACGGTTTGTAAAAGAACCCAGTGCTTAAGTGAAGAGCAGGGACAGCTCCTGGCTCTGGATGGGGGAGAAGTCTTCCTTGTTTCATAGTCAAGGAAAGCTCCCAGCTGACCATCACCCTCTTCTCTTGGAAAACGCCACACCTACCTTCTTGCCATTCCTAGAGCGATTTTCCAGCCTGAGTGGTATGACTGCTTCCATTTCCTCGCCACTCTTGTTTGTCCCTGGCAGTTCACTTTGATTCTCAAAAGTCCATTAAAACCCCTTCCAGGTCCTCCGGGATCCCTGGCCATGTAAGCTCTGCCACCAACAGCAGCCTTTCTAGTACAAAGTCTCTAGAGCTTTCCACAGCCTCTGGCTTGGTCTCTCCCTCTCCAGGCTGGCCACAGGCCCCCAGGGACCTATCTGCCATCTCTTGGAAATATCTTTCTAAATTCCCCACTCCCCCTCCTGCCTTTCCACGACTTTGAGTTGCAATAGTTTGCCCAGTTCCCCTTTTCCTTGTAGTCTTTAAAGATAAGTCCACAGGTTTTTCATTTGTTTATAAGATTTACTCTCCATCAGGAAATGAAAATAAACATAGGGAAGCTGATAAGTCACAGCTCCCCACCCCCAGCCGTTGTTCCGGGGAAGCCTCTCTAGCAAGGCTCAGATGTTTCCATCTTAAGGTTAAATCACACCAAACAATAGAAGCCCTTTGGTTTCACCTCAGTGGGCGGGATGTGCCTCCTTTCATGGATCTCCTGCCCCACACAGGATTTCTCTGGACTCCTTAGAGTGTTTCTTCAAAACTAGTTCAATCTCGATCTAATTAGTCCCCAAAGAGATGCAAACCAAACGAGATGCGATTTTTGTTCTATTAGGAGGGCACAAAAATAAAAAATAAAAATTAAGCCTGATAATAGCCTGTTTGGGCCAGCTTGCTGGGAAGCGGACTCATTTTTATACTGCTGGAGGGGTTCGGAATCAAGAATCTTAAATATGTGCATCCCCTTCAATCCAGTAATCCCACTTCTAGGAAAATATCCTGAGGAGATAATCAAGATGTGCAGTCAAGAATTTATGAACAAAAGATACTCACTGCAGAGCCATAATTGAGAAGAACTGGAAAGGACTTAACATGCCTCCCAGGTGGGGCTTGGCTCTGCAAATCCTCATCTGACTCTATGATGGAATGGGATGCATCCGGTCATGCAGTCATCCGTGCGACAAATAGTTCTTCAGTACCTACTCTGCGTTAGGTAAACAATGCAGAGTATTGTTAACTTGGCTGGGTAAACAGGTAAGTTCTCAGCCCCCCTGGAAAATCCATGATCTCCTAAAGTAAAGCAATTTAAAATTGTTCACATTATTTGTGTGTGAGTGTGAGGGGGCGCTTTATCACCCTCCACCTCTCATCCCCCCACCACAAGCAGTTGCCAAATTCAAATAATTTTTCCTTCAATGCCTCTCCCGTGTGACCGCTCCTTTTCTTTCAAAAGTAAATCCTATGTCTGGGAGGTAACCCGATCACCGCGGAAAGAACGCCGACATGGAAATCTTAGGATTGGTTTCTCGTTCCAGGAAGTTGCGCTACTTTGGGCAAATCACGTCACCTCTGGGACTGTTTCTAATCAGAATAAAGAAAGGGCTGGACCAATCTTTCAGATCCTTTGAATCCAATCATTTTTGGCCTTATGACGGAACCGTCTGTAGATGAGGGCATCTGAATCCTAGTTAAAGGGAAGGGACGGTGAAGCCCTTGAAGATCTGGGGCATATTTCCTGAACACCAAAACGGGAAAGGGCTGTCTAGAGTGAAAGTATAAGACAGACAGGCCCTGTTCCAGGAAGCTCCCTGCACTCTGCTCTTCTCCTCAAGCCGACCCCAAACTCACAGCCAGCTTTAGCAAGCAGGCCCGTCATCCTTCCAGGTGCTATGTAATATTAAGAAGCAGCAGCTAACAATTATTAGTGCTACTAGGGGCAGGAGATTTGCAGTTCCCTCGCTTTCACACAAAAGTATGAGGTCTGTTTTATTATTCCCACTCTAAAGGCAAAATGGAAGCTCACGGAGATTACAGAACTTATGGGAAGTGACAGGGCTATTTGCCACGTTTATACTGGCCAGTCTTCCTCTTTTTCTCAAAGGGTGGGGTGGGAGAGCAGCCTCCCGTGTTATCACCCTCTCCTGCGGCAGAAGACAGAAGCATAGGTCATTTTGGTAGTACGGGTTTGTTGATTACCAACTGGGAGACAGAGGTGAGGTAAATCACAAGCATGGATGTTAGCAGGGCTGCAGAAGTTTATAAATAAATGATCTTAGAATCTCCAGCAGCCCCATTCTTTCATTTGGTAACCGGCCTCCTCCCTGCCCTCATCCCTGTAGCGCCCTTCCCCCATGAGGGTGAAGGGTCAGCTCTAAAAATGCAGTCAGGAAGGAACAATGAGAGTCCTCTCCCCGCCTGGGAGAAATGCAATTTGCATCTCAGATGAGCTCAGATTGGTGAAGCCTCGTTTGGACTCTGATCCTTGCAGTAAGGATCTGCTCTGGGAATCTCCTGTGACCTGTTGAGGTTTGCTGCTCCAAAGGAATAAGGAGTCTTTGACATTAATGTCCATTTAACTCAGGGATCTAAAAAGGCAGGTTAGTGTTAGAGTTCTATAGGCACCCCAGAATTGTACCTAAGAGTGTGTGTGTGCGTGCATATGTGTGTTTTCCTGGGGATGGTGTAGCTTTCCTTAGATTGTCAAAGGAATTTATAGCTGCCCAAAGGTTAAAAACTTGTGTGACAAGTGAGTGTGATAAAGGAGGAACAGTGGTGCAGATCCTGTGGGAGGGGAGAATGACTTAACAAACCCAGAGGTGGGGGTGGGAGGGAAAGAATTCAGGTGAGACTGCACTCAGAGGTAGGATTCCTTTTTCTTTTTTGTAGGTAACATTTTTTGTTTTCTTACTGTGTGCCAGGCATTGTTCTAAACTAAATATACAAGGCCAGGCGCAGTGGCTCACTCCTGTAATCCCAGCACTTTGGGAAGCCGAGGTGGGTGGGTCACTTGAGGTCAGGAGTTCGAGACCAGTCTGGTCAACATAGTGAAACCCCGGCTCTACTAAAAATAGAAAAATTAACCAGGTGGCTCGTGCCTGTAGTCCCAGCTGCTCGGGAGGCTGAGAGAGGAGAATCTCTTGAACCCCGGAGGAGGATGTTGCAGTGAGCTGAGATTGCACCACTGCACTCCAGCCTAGGCAACTGAGAAGACTCTGTCTCAAAAAAAAAAAAAAAAAAAAAAAAAAGACAAATACGTAAACTAAAATCTATGAGAATTAGGTAATTCTCTCTCTTTTTTTTTTTTTTGCCAGAGTTTTGCTCTTGTCGCCCAGGCTGGAGTGCAGTGGTGTGATCTTGGCTTACCGCAACCTCCGCCTCCCGGGTTCAAGTGATTCTCCTGCCTCAGCCTCCCAAGTAGCTGGAATTACAGGTGCGCACCACTAGGCCCGGCTGATTTTTGTATTTTTTTAGTAGAGACGGGGTTACACCATGTTGGCCAGGCTGGTCTTGAACTCCTGAACTCAGGTGATCCACCTGCCTTGGCCTCCCAAATTTCTGGGATGACAGAAGTGAGCCACCGCGCCCGGCCTAATTTTTTTTTTTTTTTTTTTAAGAGACGGAGACTTGCTCTGTTGCCAGGCTGGAGTGCAGTGGCGCCATCTTGGCTTACTGCAAGCTCCACCTCCCAGGTTCAAGTGATTCTCCTGCCTCAGCCTCCCAAGTAGCTGGAATTACAGGTGCGCACCACTAGGTCTGGCTGATTTTTGTATTTTTTTAGTAGAGACGGGGTTACACCATGTTGGCCAGACTGGTCTTGAACTCCTGACCTCAGGTGATCCACCTGCCTTGGCCTCCCAAATTTCTGGGATGACAGGAGTGAGCCACCGTGCCCAGCCTAATTTTTTTTTTTTTAGAGATGGAGTCTCACTCTGTTGCCAGGCTGGAGTGCAGTGGCGCGATCTCGGCTCACTGCAAGCTCCACCTCCTGGGTTTAAGTGATTCTCCTGCCTCAGCCTCCCAAGTAGCTGGGACTACTGGCTGGCGCCACCACGCCCAGCTAATTTGTATTTTTAGTAAAGATGGGGTTTCACCATGTTGGCCAGGATGGTCTCCATCTCTTGACGTCGTGATCTGCCCGCCTCGGCCTCCCAAAGTGCTTGGATTACAGGTGTGAGCCACTGAGCCTGGCCTAAATTTTAAACTATTTGTAGAGACAGGGTCTCGCTATGTTGCTCAGAATGTTCTCAAACTCCTGAGCTCAAGCAATCCTCCTGCCTTGGCCTCCTGAAGTGCTGGGATTAAAGGCATGACCCACTGTGTCCAGCCTTTTGTGGGCTTTTTGACATCCTTTTATGTTTTTCTTTGGTGAAGTGCCTATTCAAATCATTTGCACGCTTTTTTTTTTTTTTGAGATGGAGTCTTGCTCTGTCCCCCAGGCTGGAGTGCAGTGATGCGATCTCGGCTCACTGCAAGCTCCGCCTCCTGGGTTCACGCCATTCTCCTGCCTCAGCCTCCCGAGTAGCTGGGACTACAGGCGCCGGTCACCACGCCCGGCTAATTTTTTTTTTTGTATTTTTAGTAGAGACAGGGTTTCACCGTGTTAGCCAGGATGGTCTTGATCTGCTGACCTCGTGATCTGCCCATCTCGGCCTCCCAAAGTGCTGGGATTACAGGCATGAGTGAGCCACTGCGCCCGGCCATTTGCCCTTTTTTTGTTGTTGGGCTGTTTATCTTATTATTGCATTTTGAGGGTTCATTATATACTCTGGATACAAGCCCTTTGCCAGATATGTGTGTTGCTAATATTCTCTACCAGTCTGTGGCTTATCTTTGCATTCTCCTAAATTTCTTTCAGAGAGCATACATTCTGGTAGAAGAGTACTTAGTCCTGGGCCTGGCAGATTTATTTCTTTCAGGACCCAAGGCCTCTGCTGCAAACATGTTCCACCAGATCTTTGGTCAGAATAAGAAGCATATGAGCTTGATCATTGTTATGGTCACAACTTTTGTATCCCCTCAAAATTCGTACATTGAAACCTAATCTCCAATGTGATAGTATTAAGAGTTGGGGTCATTTGAGAGGTGATGAATGGGCTTCACGCCCTTATAAGAGGGCCAAAGGAGATTGTTTACCCCTTCCACCATGTGAGTGCACAGCTGTAAGGCACCGTCTGTGAGGAATAGGCTCTCACCAGATACTAGCACCTTGGCTCTTGGACTTCCCAGCCTCCACAATTATGTCTGTTTTTTGTTTTGTTTTGTTTTGTTTTTGAGACAGAGTTTGCTCTTGTTGCCCAGGCTAGAGTGCAGTGGCACAATCTCAGCTCACAGCAACCTCTTCCTCCCAGGTTCAAGCAATTCTCCAGTCTCAGCCTCCCGAGTAGCTGGGATTACAGCCACCCGTCACCAAGCCCAACTAATTTTTGTATTTTTAGTAGAGATGGGGTTTCATCATATTGGTCAGGCTGGTCTCAAACTCCTGACTTCATGTGATCCGCCCACCTCAGCCTCCCAAAGTGCTGGGATTACAGGCATGAGCCACCACACCCGACCTGTTGTTTATTCTTTATAAGTCATCCCGCATATGGTATTTTTTTCTTTTCTTTTTTTGAGACAGGGTCTTGCTCTGTTACCCAGGCTGGAGTACAGTGGCATGATCATGGCTCATTGCAGCTTCAACCTCCTGAGTTCAAACAATGCTCCCACCTCAGCTTTCCAAGTATCTGGGACAACAGGTGCATGACACCATGCCTGGCCAATTTTTTGATATTTGTAGAAATGGGGTCTCCCTATGTTGCCCAGGCTGGTATTTTCTTATAGAAGCCTGAATGAACAAAGACACTGTCCATCTTTTTCTTTTTTCTTTTTTTTTTTTGAGACAGAGTCTTGCTCTGTCACCCAGGCTGGAGTGCAGTGGTGCAGTCTTGGCTCACTGCAACCTCCGCCTCCTGGGTTCAAGCGATTCTCCTGCCTCAGCGACCCAAGTAGCTGGGATTGCAGGCAAGCGCCACCACACACGGCTAATTTCTGTATTTTTAGTAGAGACTGGATTTCGCCATGTTGGCCAGGCTGGTCTTGAACTCCTGACCTCAGGTGATCCACCTGCCTTGGCCTCTCAAAGTGCTGGGATTACAGGTGTGAGCCACTGCGCCTGGCCCATCTTTTTTTTTTTCTTTTCTTTTTGTAGAGAGAGAGAGACAGACAGAGTTTTGCCGTGTTGCTCAGGCTGATCTCAAACTCCTGGCCTCAAGTGATCCTCCCACCTTGGCCTCCCAAAGGATATAATCCCATGCCTGGAATTACAGGCATGAAACACCATGCCTGGCCATTCTTAATTTTATGACATCCTCACACTTGTAATCTCAGCACTTTTGGAGGCCAAGGCAGGTGGATCAACTGAGGTCAGGAGTTCGAGACCAGCCTTGCCAACATGGTGAAACTCCGTCTCTACTAAAAATAACAAAAATTAGCTGGGTGTGGTGGCTAGTGCCTGTAATCCCAGCTACTCGGGTGGCTGAGGCACAAGAATCACTTAAACTGGGAGGCAGAGGCTGCAGTGAGCTGAGATCACACCACTGCACTCTAGCCTGGGAGACAGAGCCAGGCTTTGTCTCAAAAAAAAAAAAAAAGAAAAAAGTTTTGTGAAGTCCACTTTATCAAGTTTTTATTTTATGTACTGCATTTTCTTGTTGTATCTAAGAAATCTTTGGTGAAAAAGATTTTCCCTGTGTTTTATTTTATTTGTTTCAGTGTCTCGCTCTGTCACCCAGGCTGGAGTGCAGTAGTATGATCTCAGCTTAATGCAACCTCCGACTCCTGGGTTCAAGTGATTCTCCTGCCTCAGCCTCCTGAGTAGTTTGGGATTACAGGCCCTTGCCACCACGCCCAGCTAATTTTTTCACCTAATTTTTGTATTTTTTGGTAGAGATGGGGTTTTATCACGTTGACTAGGCTGCTCTCAAAAGTACTGACCTCAAGTGATAAGCCTGCCTTGGGCTCCCAAAGTGCTGGGATTACAGGCATGAGCCACTGTGCCCGGCCTGACCAATCTTGATAAATGATTTTTGTGTACTTGGAAAGAATGCATATTCTGCTGTTGTTTTGTTGGAATTTTTTTTTTTTTTTTTTTTAGATGGAGTCTCGCTCTGTTACCCAGGCTGGAGTGCAGTGACACGATCTCAGCTCACTGCAACCTCTGCCTCCTGGGTTCAAGCAGTTCTCCTGCCTCAGTCTCCTGAGTAGCTAGACTACAAGCGCACACCACCATGCCTGGCTAATTTTTGTATTTTTACTGGAGATGGGGTTTCACCATGCTGGCCAGGCTGGTCTTGAGCTCCTGACCTCGTGATCCACCTGCCTCGGCCTCCCAAAGTGCTGGGATTACAGGCGTGAGCCACTGTGCCCGGCCCTGATTTTCTATTCTATCAATTATTGACAACAGGATCTGACTATAATTGAAGATTTGTCTATTTCTCATTGATTCCATCAGGCTTTTTTCCTTCTTCATGTTTTGAAGCTTTTTTTTTTTTTGAGACGGAGTCTTGCTCTGTCACCCAGGCTGGAGTGCAGTGGCGCCATCTCGGCTCACTGCAAGCTCCGCCTCCCGCGTTCACGCCATTCTTCTGCCTCAGCCTCCCCAGCAGCTGGGACTACAGGCGCACGCCGCCACGTCCGGCTAATGTTTTTGTATTTTTAGTATAGACGGAGTTTCACCGTGTTAGCCAGGATGGTCTGGATCTCCTGACCTTGTGATCCGCCCGGCTCGGCCTTCCAAAGTAGGGGGATTACAGGCGTGAGCCACTGCGCCCAGCCTTTTTGTTATTTTTGAATAGGATATAAGTGAGAAATTCAAGAAAGTTTTGAGGCATTTAAGAACACAGGTTGGCCAGGCGCAGTGGCTCACGCCTGTAATCCTAGCACTTTGGGAGGCCGAGACAGGTGGATCACTTGAGGTCAGGAGTTTGAAACCAGCCTGGCCAACATGGTGAAACCCTGTCTCTGCTAAAAATACAAAGAAAATTAGCTGGGTGTGGTGGTGTATGCCTGTAATCCCAGCTACTTGGGATGCTGAGGCAGGAGAATTGCTTGAACCTGGGAGGCAGAGGTTGCAGTGAGCTGAGATCATGCCACTGCACTCTAGCCTGGGCGACAGGGCGACTCCGTCTCAAAAAAAAAAAAAAAAAAAAGAACACAGGCTATGGGTTAAGCAAATGATAGACCTCAAGCTTATATTATTCTAGAGAACAGGGAGCATCTGGCCCACGCACCAGCCCTCATTTGAGTGACTTATTTTTAGGCTTTGCAACCCACATTAATTGCTCTTTTTTTTTCCTTTTTTCAACATGTTCTAAAATCGTATATATTTGAATCAAAGTACAGTACATGTCAGGATAAAGAATCAAAAGAATTATCAAAAATATTAGGTTGAATCCTATGGAGTTGTTAACATTTGCCTTTGACCTTTAAAAGAGGTAATTTCTAGGCCGGGCGCGGTGGCTCATGCCTGTAATCCCAGCACTTTGGGAGGCCGAGGTGGGCGGATCACCTGAGGTCGGGAGTTTGAGACCAGCCTGACCAACATGGAGAAACCCCGTCTCTACTAAAAATACAAAATTAGCCGGGCGTGGTGGCGCATGCCATAATCCCAGCTACTAGGGGGGCTGAGACAGGAGAATCGCTTGAACCTGGGAGGCAGAGGTTGCGATGAGCCGAGATCATGCCATTGCACTCCAGCCTGGGCAACAAGAGCGAAACTCCATCTTTAAATAAATAAATAAATAAATAAATAAATAAAAGAGGTAATTTCTTACAAAATAAGGATGTTTGTTCATTATAGTTTTTTTGGAATAGAGAAACATTGGGAGCTATTTAGATGTCTTTCTTTTCTATTTATTTATTTATTTAGTAGAGAGACAGGGTCTTAGTATGTTCCCCAGGCTGGTCTTGAACTCCTGGGCTCCAGTGATCCTCCTGCCTCATCTTCCCAAAGTGCTGGGATTACGGGTTGAGTCACCGTGCCTGTAACGTTTTTCATCGTAACATTGTTCAGAATAGTGAAAAAAATGAGAGTAATCTAAATGTCAAACAAATCATGCCACATCCATATCACAAAATTAAAATCAATGTTTTAGATTTAATAACTCAATCCCTTTGTGTTCTCATGAACACATGATTTAATATTGGTTTCATGACATTAAGTTCCATTTATACATGCTGGAAACTCCCAAATTTATATCTAAAGTCCAGCTATAGCTCCCCAAATCCAGACCAAGACATTGAATTTCCTCTGTGGTGTCCCAGCAAGTTCTGGAGTATGGCACCTCCTCATGGATGTGTCCTTGGCACCTGGGGGCAGATTCCAAACAAGTCCACTTATTTTAAATGTCTCAGTAAACTCATTTTTATTTTTTTGAGACTGGGTCTCACTCTATTGCCCAGACAGGAGTGCAGTGGCACGATCTCGGCTCACTGCAACCTTCACCTCTGGGGCTCAAGCAATCCTCTCACCTCAGCCCTGCAGGTAGCTGGGAACACAGGCACGTGCCACCACGCCAGGCTAATATTTTGTATTTTTAGTAGAGACGGGGTTTTGCTATGTTGCCCAGGCTAGTCTCGAACTCCTAGGCTCAAGCAATCCGACTGCCTCAGCCTCCCACAGTGTTGAGATTACAGGTGTGAGCCGCTGTGCCCAGCCTCAGTAAACTTCTTTGCCACCCAGAGAGAAGGTTGTACCCTCTGTCAGGGTCTGGTTCAACCTCAGGCAGAGGGGGCTCATTTAGATTTGCCTTGACTCAGGCCTATCGGTTTTTTTTGTTTTTTGTTTTTGTTTTTGTTTTGGGGGGGACGGAGTCTCACTCTGTTGCCCAGGCTGGAGTGTAGTGGTGTGATCTCTGCTCACAGCAACCTCTGCCTCCTGGGTTCAAGCGATTCCCCTGCCTCAGCCTCCAGAGTAGCTGGGACTACAGGCATGCGCCACTATGCCTGGCTAAGTTTTTTAATTTTTAGTAGAGATGGGGTTTCACCATGTTAGCCATGATGATCTCGATCTCCTGACCTCGTGATCCGCCCGCCTCAGCCTCCCAAAGTGCTGGGATTACAGATGTGAGCCACGGCGCCCAGCCAACTCAGCCCTATAGTTAATGGCTGTTCCCTATAAATGTTTTTCTTATATTAAGAGTTTTGTTTTCATCACCTGGCATCAGATCCTCCATTATTCCAATTTCTTGTTATTGTTTGTGATAGGTAATCTTAGTTCAACTTAACTGGGCCAGGGTGCCCAGAAACTTGGTCAAACATTATTCTGGATACTACTATGAAGGTGTTTTTGGATGAGATTAATGGTTTTGTTTTTTGTTTTTTTTTGTGATGGAGCCTTGCTCTGTCACCCAGGCTGGAGTGCTGTGGCATGATCTCGGCTCACTGCAACCTTTGCCTCCTGGGTTCAAGCGATTCTCCTGCCTCAGCCTCCTGAGTAGCTGGGATTACAGGCGTGTGCCATCATGCCCATCTAATTTTTGTATTTTTAGTAGAGGCGACGTTTCACCATGTTGGTGAGGCTGGTCTCGAACTCCTGACCCTGTGATCCACCCACCTCGGCCTCCCAAAGTGCTGGGATTACAGTGCCTGGCGAGATTAACATTTTAATTGGTGGACTTCGAGTAAAGCAAATTACTATCCGTAATATGGGTGGGCCTCATCCAGTTTAAGGAGTTAATATAAAAAAGACTGACTTCCTCCTGAGCAAGAAGAAATTCTGCCAGCAGACTGCCTTTTGGCTTGAACTGTCTCTTCCCTGAGTCTCCAACCTGATGGCCCACAATAAAGATTTAGACTCCCCAGGCCTCCACAATTGTGTGAGCCAATTCCTTAAAATGTTTCTCTATCTATAACATATCCTATTAGTTCTGTTTCTCTGGAGAACCCTAATACATTATACTTTTTTTTTTTTTTTTGAGACAGTCCCTCTCTGTTGCCCAGGCTGGAGTGCAGTGGTGCGATCTCGGCTCACTGCAACCTCCGCCTCCCGGCTTCAAGCAATTCTCCTCCCTCAGCCTCCAGAGTAGCTGGGGTTACAGGCACGCGCCACCACGCCTGGCTACTTTTTGTATTTTTAGTAGAGATAGGGTTTCACCATGTTGTTCAGGCTGGTCTCAAACTCCTGACCTCATGATCTACCCACCTTGGCCTCCCAAAGTGCTGGGATTACAGGCGTGACCCACCACGCCCAGCCTACATTATTCTTTACATTCAACTACCCCAGTTCAAATTGCTGTGTGGTTTCTGTCTCCTGATTGGACCGTGATGAATACACTATTATTCTCTCCTGAACTCCCAATCCATATGTGCAGATGCTTACCCAGCATCTCTATCTGGATGTCTAAAAGGTGTCTCAAAAGCATCGCAAATTTGTTATCCCCAAAAGTAGCTCTTGATGCTCCTCCCACAAACTTTTCTTTTCTTTTTTTCCTTTTTTTTTTTTGAGATGAAGTCTCGCTCTTGTCCCCCAGTCTGAAGTGCAATGGTGCGATCTTGGCTTACTGCAACCTCCACCTCCCGGGTTCAAGTGATTCTCCAGCCTCAGCCTCTCGAGTAGCTGGGATTACAAGTGTGTACCACCACGCCCAGCTAGTTTTTTGTATTTTTAGTAGAGACGGGGTTTCACCATGTTGGCCAGGCTGGTCCTGAACTCCTGACTTCAGGTGATCCGCCTGCCTTGGCCTCCCAGAGTGCTGGGATTACAGGCATGAGCCACCGTGCCCAGCCAAACTTGTTTTCTTTTACAGCTTTTCCAATCTCAGTTAAAGGCAACTCCATTTTTCAGTAAGGCCTTCCCTAGCAACCCATTAATTGTAGTCAGCAGCCCCAACTATACTTTCAATCCCTCTTCTCTGCTGTTATTTTATTTTTTATTTTTATTTTTTTGAGCAGATTCTCACTCTATTGTCCAGGCTGGAGTGCAGTTGCATGATCTCGGCTCACTGTAGCCTCTGCCTCCCATGTTCAAGCAATTCTTCTGCCTCAGTCTCCCCAGTAGCTGGAATTACAGGCGCCCACCACTAAACCTGGCTAATATTTGTATTTTTAGTAGAGATGAGGTTTCACCATGTTGGTCAGGCTGGTCTTGAACTCCTGGCCTCAAGAGATCTGCCTGCCTCAGCCTCCCAAACTGTTGGGATTACAGGCATGAGCCACCACACCCGGCCATTTGCTATTATTATTTATTTTTTTTTGAGACAGTCTTGCTCTGTCACCCAGGCTGGAGTGCAGTGGCACAATCTTGGCTCACTGCAACCTCCGCCTCCCAGGTTCAAGCAATTCTTCTGCCTCAACCTCCCGAGTAGCTGGGATTACAGGTGCATGCCACCACGCCTGGCTAATTTTTGTATTTTTAGTAAAGACGTTTTCACCATGTTGGCCAGGCTGGTCTCGAACTCCTGACCTTGTGATCCACCCTCCATGGCCTCCCAAAGTGCTGGGATTACAGGCGTGAGCCACTGCATCCCGCCACTATTATTGCTATCTAATTACTATATTTATTACGTATGTTTATTATGTAACTCCTCCACTGGAATATAAACTATGAGAGCAATAATTTAACGTGTATTTTAGGGCCGGGCACAGTGGCTCACGCCTGTAATCCCAGCACTTTGGGAGGCCGAGTTGGGCAGATCACGAGGTCAGGAGATCGAGACCATCCTGGCTAATATGGTGAAACCCCATCTCTACTAAAAATACAAAAAATTAGCCAGGCATGGTGGCACGCACCTGTAGTCCCAGCTACTCGTGAGGCTGAGACAGGAGAATCACTTGAACCTGGGAGGTGGAAGTTGCAGTGAGCCAAGATTGCACCACTGCACTCCAGCCTGGTGACAGAGTGAGACTCCGTCTCAAAAAAAAAAAAAAAAAAAAAAAAAAAAAGAATTTCATGGTTTTTGTTTTGTTTTTTTGAGATGAAGTCTCACTCCTGTCCCCCACGCTGTAGTGCAGTGGCATGATCTCAGCTACTGCAACCTCCGCCTCCCGGGTTCAAGCGATTCTCCTGCCTCAGCCTCCCGAGTAGCTGGGATTACAGGCACCTGTCACCACACCCAGCTAATTTTTGTATTTTTAGGAGAGACAGGGTTTTGCCATGTTGGCCAGGCTGGTCTTGAACTCCTGACCTCAAGTGATGCACTCGCCTTGGCCTCCCAAAATGCTGGGATTACAGGCCTTCTCCTTTTTAATGATATATTTTGATGACCAGAAATTCTTAATTTTTATATAGTCAATTTTTTTATAGCAAAACACCTGTGAACATAGTCAAATTTATCACTTATCCTTTATAATTTAAATGTCTTAAGAAAACTTCCCTTTCCCAAGTTAATAAGTACATTTTGTATTTTCTCCTAAAAATTATGTTTCATCTTTCACATTTAGGTTGCTAAGCCACCAAGAATTGATTTTTCTGTATGGTGTGAGGTAGGGTTCAAATTTTCACCCCTTACTCAGAAGGCTCTTTTTTTCTACATAATGGTTTTGGTTTGATCTCTCTGCTTTCTGAAGTCTCTTATCCTATGAAACACTATCAAGATTCTACAACAATGAAGCAAAACAAAGTATCAATCCCACAGTTTTATTTGTAAAGAACAAAGCATGAAAAGTCATATTTAAATGTACTCCCAAACCTGAAAAACCCACGTCAGTTTGTCTGATATGTATGTTAAAGTGCTTAATATCACAATACTCTTTCAAATTTTATATTATGTTCAGATGAGAAAAAAAATCCAGTTCTGATGCATTTTGCTAACAATACAAAGAAAAACAATATAATTTAAATTCAGAAAAGCTAATTAAAAAAAAGATACACAGGTTACATTTATACATGGTTCAAGTGTAACACAGAGCATTCTAAATGTTTCACACCCTCATTTGATTGACAACAGGAACTCCTTACTATACTTCTCTACTGTTGACAAGATTTGGTGTTTAGAATCAAGATTGGATTCACACACAAGTACATTCAGGTAAATTAGAACAAATATGATTCCCTCCTACATAACCCAAGGATACCCTGGATCCCTTCGAATGAGGAAAAATTTTATTTGAGGTTTTTTTTTTTTCCTCTAGCTTGATGTGATATATCTCTGAAGTCAATCTTTATCTTGTCCTTGAGAGGGTGAACAGCTCCAATCAGATTTTGGAGAGGAGGTTCTCCTTAGATTCTTTTGATCACACTACATCAGCAACCTCTTCAAAAAGCTTAGAATTCAGTTGATTCAAGGGATTTATAAATTTATTTTAATAGGAATAAAGGACCTAGTAGTTTATTATCCTTTTCTGTCTCCTATTTATGCTAAACAGTAAAGTAATAAATACTTATATAAGAAACAGACTTCAAAAGACATGGATGACTTGGAAATAGGATTCACTTTATAAAAGTAGAGAAGGGCTCAAGACTCTCAATCAGTGAAGGTGTGTTAATACTGAAATATAAATAGCTAAAGTTCAGATTGTCTTTTCAACATAGTGAAAAGGATACACTAGTTTCTGTAAACCTCACAGAAAATATTCACAGTTCCCTAAATGAAAAATTGTAATCTTTAGCAGAAAGAAGATATTTCATTATGAAGAGCTACACTCCTAATGTTGTGAAATAAATATTTCCCTGGAAATTTGAGGTCCTTGTCTGTCACCTCATGTTTCAAAATACCTTAGGGATGTCAACATATACTACACATAAGCTGTTGTATAGTCTTGAACCTCTTTTTCACTTACATTTACATATAACAGTGCTTTATTGCCAAAAAAGGAAATATGAGCAGTTCAGTATTTCCCCCATATCATTCATATAGTGTGATAGAAGTTCATTAAAATAATTTTTTAAAAAGCCATGTGAAAGTAAATACCACAAGGTTACAAAAGGTACAAAAATGTGTGAAACATTTAAATTTCAGAGGGAAATCCACACTTCTGCAAGGTTGAAGTTTCTCATATCAAATTCTCATTCCCAGTGGAAAACAAGGTGGGGAGGGTTGGGAGGTTTTTGTCCTCAGTAGCCTGCTTTTTCCCACGTAGGACTCCACTTTATACTACTTCACACTGACTCGCAGTCATTTTTAAGGCATATGACTCCCGACCAGGGCACAGATCTCACACATGCTTCCAACATCAGTGTAATGCCACTGTGTCATAAAGGTCAAGATTAGGGGTTTCATGACATATGAAAAACTTTGGGAAAATAAATTTTTCAAGAGGTAATACTTTTGGCAATTTAATTTTAAAACAACTTCTTCACCAGCTATTACTATGCAAAAATAATCATTATGGTCCCAGCATTTAATTTATTTGCAGGAAAAAAACAAATTAAATATTGATTTTTTTATTTACTTTGAGATGTAATCCTAAAGCAATGTATTAATTTAAAAAATTACCACAGCAGAAAAGATGCCTCTATGTGGGTATGGTCCTTCCAAAAGTCAGCTTAAAAGTCAAGCATTTATTCTAAGCATTCTGCTACTACTGTTGTGCTCAAACTTTTGGTATAACTTAGAGACACTTATGAGCCACATAAAAACTAAGTCCTTTGTTTTGTTTTTTTGAGATGGGGTTTCCCTATGTTACCCAGGCTGGACTCAAACTCCTGGGTTGAAGTGATCCTCCTGCCTTGGCTTCCCAAGCAGCTGGGACTACAGGTGTGTACTGCCATGCCCAACATGTCTTATTTCTTTATAACTGCACTTCTTATGTGACCCCAAACTCAGCTTAAGCATCCTTTTCATTGATCAAACTTGGATCCTAAGGACTATTTCCAAATATTTAAATTTATTCTTAAAGGCCAAGATTGACTGCCATTGGGAATATTCAAAAGAATGGGGGTACTGGCCATTCAAGCAGCTCACACAAGGAGGGCCCCACATGTTTATAGCACAGGCTGTATCAACGGAATAAGTACATGGGCTCACAAGGTGACTGAAGGACCCATCATCCAAGAGGATGTGTCAGTTCTGATGTGTTTTTTTTAAATCATCATTTCACCATTATAGTAATATTACACAAAGGCATGAAGATGAAACTTCAGGTGTAACTTTTTTGGGGGTATTACTTTTTAAAGTAATGGTTTTATTCATAGGCCGCAAATCCAACTTTGGCTGCAGTTTTTTTCTTTTTTTTTTTTTGAGACGGAGTCTCGCTCTTGTCACCCAGGTTGGAGTGCAGTGGCACAATCTCGGCTCACTGCAACCTCCACCTCCTGTGTTTAAACGATTCTCCTGCTTCAGCCTCCTGAGTAGCTGGAATTACAGGCCCTGCCACCACCCCCCCGCTAATTTTTGTCTATTTTTTTTTTTTAGTAGAGACGGGGTTTCACCATGTTGGCCAGTCTGGTCTTGAACTCCCGACTGACCTCAGATGAACCACCCGCCTCAGACTCCCAAAGTGTCAGGATTACAGGCGTTAGCCACCGTACCTGGCCTGCTCCCAGTTTTTACAAGATGTTAATTCCCAATAATCTGAGAGCAATGTGTTAATATGAATATTAATTCTTCTAAATGAATATTCATCCTTATTTCCTACTTGTATAGGTGGATGAATAAAGATCCAATAGTATAATAGAAAGACTATTAGTAAGAATGCCGGAAGGTCAGTCTCATGCAGCCTGGTGAAATAAAACAAACAAACAAACATGAATTCTAGAGCTTGTGTTGTCAGTAACCAGCTGTGGGGTAAGTGTAAGATTTAATCTCTCTATTCCTTAAGTGTTCCCATCCACAAAGTAAGAAGGCTGGATGAGGTGTGTCAATCCTAGCACATTAACCTAAGTCATCCCCCAGGTTGCCTAGACCTGTCAGGAGCATGGCCTTATGAAGATACAAACATGAAATCCTGGGTTGGACCCCTCTATAGTTTCTGATCACCAAACACAGTAGGAGCCCAGTGTAAAACAGGTTCTGGATATCTCCCACGATAAACTTCCCATGTCCCTGGAAGAGCTGTACCATTGTAGACACACTTTAGCTTCAGGCAAACAAATTTCTGGTGTACCCAGAACCATTTTCTTAAACCATTTCCATGGGTTTTTATTTTTATCTATTTATTTTTTGAGATGGAGTCTTGCTCTGTTGCCCAGGCTGGAGGGCAGTGGCGCGATCTCAGCTTACTGCAAGCTCCGCCTCGCGGGTTCACGCCATTCTCCTGCCTCAGCCTCCTGTACAGGCACCCGCCACCACGCCCGGCTAATTTTTTGTATTTTTAGTAGAGACGGGGTTTCACGGTGTTAGCCAGGAGGGTCTCAATCTCCTGACCTTGTGATCCGCCTGCCTCGGCCTCCCAAAGTGCTGGGATCATAGGCGTGAGCCACCGCACCCGGCTCCATGGGTTTTTAAATACAGCTGTCAACTCTCCTTTTCCTCAAGTATGAAGTCACATGTTAAAAGAGGCTGTCCTTGGCTGTGTTTGATAAAGGGAGTTAGGCACTTGTTTCATCTGTTTCTTCCTCCAGGAAATAAGGTTAACAACACAGGTGGTGAAAGCCCAGCAACCTCCGATTGCACAAGGATACTGATGCCATGGCTTTGCTTTTCAGCCACAACTGGGAATAAAACTGGGAGCTCTGCTGAGGCAATTTTGCTGCTAAAAATGTACAAATGCCTAATTAGAGTTACAGGACCTACCAGAAGATGAGGACTTACAGTAACTAGCCAATACTACATTTACTTAACTTCTTTATAAACTATCAAACTGGAAAGTTACTCACAACTTTTGGTCTTTCAAAATTGTTGCCACCTCTTGCTTTGCTTCCATTTTGTCAGCCTGTGCTGCCAGTGGCTTTTAGCTTCTCTGGGTCAGTTGTTTTACATTATTACTCCCCTTCCTACAAAGGAACGTAAAGCTTGCCCTGAAACACCCAGAAAGGGTTCATTCTCTCTCTCCTTCTGTTATTTGCATTATCATGGTCAACAAATGCTTTCACAAAAACATTCCAAGCCACACACAGCCCTCCTCCTCCTTAGACATTCCTTCCATTTCCCGAGGGGGGATGGGCCCTGGAGAGGTGGGTGATTAGACCCTAACAAAGACAGGGCTCATGGTTATCCTTAAGAGGTAGACCACTGCACAGTTTAGATGGCCAAATTAAAAGTACAGAATCAAATTGCTGTTTGCAGTTCTTATCACTATGAATCTAACACTGAAATTCACATCTTCCCAAAGTACCTCAAATAACAAGAATAAAAATGCCAAGAATGAAGTTAGTCTAGGCTAATCTTTCCGAAGTGTAAAGAAGTTATAATCCCACAATTGAACACATTTCTCAGAGCTTTGTATGTTCTCTTTCCAGTTCAGCCAAGCTCCTGGGGTCTAGTGTTTAAAATACTCCAATTATATCATCTTGTGCGGACTGAAATTTTTTTCCAAAAGACTGGAAAAGTGACTAGCGATTCAAATATATAAAACAGTTTGTAACTTAAAAGATAGAAGTGAAGACTACCAGTACAGTAGGTAAAGCTGTGTGCATCCACAATACAAAGGATCAGACTCCAAGATGGATGGCTACTACATAACAATGCATTCTGGGTTTCTTTGTGATACCTGGAGAAAAAAAAAAGCCCGACTGGGTTGCACTATATTTACATGTTTACTGGCTTCTTCCTGGCTAGCACCACTCTTCCCCCCAACCCCCAACATTTTTAAGCTACTTATTTTAAGTCACAGGAATATTCAATCTAAGAAAAGCATCTTATTAGAGTAATATAATTTCTTAAAGAAGATAGCATATTTACACACATCTAACACATGAAAATACTCTATTTTATACTAAATTCCAGGTTCAAATGAACTACAATACAACATTTTGCCTTGTCTGTAGAGTGAGGATTGTTCCAAATGGGGCATATGTTTGGCTGCCCCTGCAGTGACTCACTACTGTCAGACAAGTCCAAATCGGTCCCCTAGTTGGGGAAGGAGCAAGGTTTGGACTGAGAGTTTCTAGCCAGTTGGGTTACACATCCACTCCTTTGATGAGTGATCCTTCTAGGACTATGGTGAAGTCCTGAATGGTCTGCAGAATTCGGATAAGGGAGTTGACAGTCATGCGGTCTCGCAGGAGAGCGCTCTCTTCATACATTCGAGTGATGGCAGGACACTCAGCTAACAATGGAATCCACTGTGGGAGCAGGCGATCCCTACAGACCCAAACAGAAACAATTCCTGAGCATTGCTGGCCTCGCTGCAGAACAAGGCACACAGTGGAGTCTGTATGAATGGGAAGGTGTGGGACTTGATGGTACAAAATGTATCCAAGCTAAGAGGTCAGGAGAGAGGAAATCAAAGCCAAGAAGTTGAATATTTTCTGGTAAAAAGACAGTGATGAGACAGTGTAAAGAAAGCTAAAGGGAAAACCCATTATTTTAAACCCAATTTAATGTACTTTAAGAGTTTAAAGTACATTAGAAAGTCTATGCACATTAAAGACATTCTCTATTCTGATTTTACCACCTTTAGAAAGAGGCAGAATGTCATTTTCTATGTCTTTTTTTTTAATAGGAGTGTTACTCTGTGGCAAGGCATGCCACAGTATACTGACCTTTTGGAAGAAAGACTA
Organism: Homo sapiens; assembly: GCF_000001405.40. Classification (NCBI taxonomy): domain Eukaryota; kingdom Metazoa; phylum Chordata; class Mammalia; order Primates; family Hominidae; genus Homo; species Homo sapiens. The sequence goes on from NC_000012.12 coordinate 31,388,206, forward strand.
CACTAAACTGTAGGGACTTGCTTTTTTTTTTTTTTTTTTTTTTAACTTATATAACATAACAGGGTGAGGAACAAAATCAAAGCAGAAAAACATTAAGTAGATTTTATAAACCAGATGAGAGTTTGCAATGGTCTAATAAATCAGAAGAGTATAGAGATAAAAGGAGATAAAGATCATGCTCAAAAGAAACTTTAAAAGCACAGCTAAAACTGGGCTCCTTTTATGAAGAAGAAATACAGAACTTAGTTCTGTAAACCAGCTGTTTCAGGAAGATAAAACCTCACATCTTCAATGTTTCCTGATCAAACCTGACATTAGTAACCCATTGCTAAGTTCCTAAGACATCCTTATTGAGCATCCCCAATCAGGCCATCTTCAGTCTCAAGTTGGGGCTCTTAAGGTTCAGGAAAAAACAAATACTACATGGGTAACTTAAAAAAAGAAATCTAAAGGTCTGTATGTTTCATTTCTTACAATTCTGAGATCTGTTTTAAAAGTAATGGATTGTATCGCTCCTATGTGCCACTTTCAAAAAATAAAGGGGTAGGAAATAGTCTTAAAGAGAAGATGATATTTATATAGCAAGAATCCCATAATGTTATTAAATGTAAATATAGTGGTATATATACACTATATAAGGTTTACTTAGTAAATATGTACAGTGTATGTGTCTAGTTATCTAACAACTTCCTTATTACCTATCTATCTGTCGAGCCAGTATACAGTCATGGTGGAGAGCTTGGGCTCTGAAGTGGGACAGGGTGTGAACCTGGCTCTGTCTCATTTTTCTGTGTGATCTTGGGAAAGTCTGCTAACTTACGTGTGCCTCATCTATTTTCTACTTTCTCATCTTTAAAATGAAAAAATCGGTTGCTACCTCATGTAGTGGTGGTGGTGAATTAAAGAAACCCAAGGGAGGAGGCAGAGGTTGCAGTGAGCCAAGATTATGCCACGGTACTCCAGCCTAGGCGATGGAGTGAGACTCTGTTTCAAAAGAAAAAGTAAAAGGAAAGAAACCCAAAGGAGAGCTCTGGAAGGGGTATGATCTGGTATAACCTTTTCTGGACTCTAGTTCAACATGTGACAAAGATAGGGAAAATAAAAAACTGGTTTTGTACCTTGTTCCAAGGCAAACTAAAATCTGGAATTTGCCATCCTTCCCAATGTTCCTGGGTGCAGTATTAATAGCATTTACGTAGTGGCAGAAGGTTTTGCAGGATGATTTCTGAATAAGGACATCATCTTCATTATCTAGAATCTGGTCAGTTGTTTCAAAATAAGCAACCACTTTCTCTGAGGAAAAAAGTCAGAATTATGTCACAATATGTGTCAACACTTCATATATAGAAAGATTCATCACTTAATTTATTATGGAAACACTAACGATGCTTTGCATACAGTCAGTCCTGAAGCCAATATCATTACTTTATCATTGATTTTAGGGGTCGATGTTTCATGGTAGAACAATAAATATGCTCCCAGGAATTTATTTTCTAATTTAGACTGCATTCCAGAAGACTGGAAAGTTTACTCCCTTTAAAATACCTTCAGGAAACAGAAACTGGCAAAAAAGAAAACAAAAATAGCATCTTCTGTTAAGACTGGAACCTTCTAGGAGTAACCAGCAATGACACGGTAGCCATTGAAATAATACCCCATGTTCTAGTTACAGAATGACTTGCTAACACTTTGCAACAAGATCCTTGAAATGTACCTGAATAAGTACCTGACAAAGAGAGATATATGTATATACACATGAGAAGCAGAAGCAATAAGATTCTAGGCATTCCAGAAGAAAAAAAAAAAATCACTCCTGGGGGCCTATCTCTGACAACTTTCCTTTTTTTGTCTATTCTAAGTTAGATGAAATAAACTACTTCATCTAGGCCTTATTTAGAAAACACAAAATGATTAATTGCCCATTTAAAGAAACTAGGAATTCTAGAAGAGCTGCATACCAAAAGAAAGATCACAAAGCTTAGCAAGCTAGAACAGAAACACTCCAAAAGAGCTTCCTGTGATGATGAAAATGTTCTCTATCTACAAGGTCCAATTTGGTAGCCACAAGTGGCTCCTGAGCACTTGAAATGTGGCCAGTGTTATTAAGAAAATGAAATTTACATTTACATTTGATTTAAATTAAATAGATTTGGCCAGGCATGGTGGCTCACGCCTGTAATCCCAGCACTTTGGGAGGCCAAGGCGGGCAGATCACCTGAGTTCGGGAGTTCGAGACCAGCCTAGCCAGCATGGTGAAACCCCATCTCTACTAAAAATACAAAAATTAGCTGGGCGTGGTGGCAGGCACCTGTAATCCCAGCTACTCAGGCTGAGGCAGGAGAATTGCTTGAACCCAGGAGGCAGAGGCTGCGGTGACCCAAGATCACACCATTGTACTCCAGCCTGGGCAACAGAGCGAGACTCCATCTAAAACAAACAAAAAAAATTAAATAGATTTAAATTTTAAATGGCTATATGTGGCTAATGGTTACTATACTGGACAACACAGAGCTAGAGGAATCCTTTTACAAAAATTGGCCAGGCACAGTGGCTCACACCTGTAATCCCAGCACCTTGGGAGGCCAAGGCAAGTGGATCACTTGAGGACGGAATTTGGGACCAGCGTGGCCAACATGGCAAAACCCCATCTCTACTAAAAATACAAAAATTAGGGGTGTGGTGGCAGGTGTAATCCCAGCTAATCAGTGGCTGGGGCAGGAGAACCGCTTGAACCCAGGAGGCAGAGGTTGCAGTGAGCTGAGATGGGGCCACTGCACTCCAGCCTGGGCAGTAGAGTGAGTCTCTGTCTCAAACAAACAAACAAAAACGTTCTATCATGTCACTACTTAGCTCAAAACCTTCCAACAGCTTCCAGTTTCATTCAGGATAAAGGCTGAAATCATTCCAATGACCTAGAAGGCCCTACACAACCTGGCACTGGCACTAAACACCCCCTCCCCCAATCTCCTACTTTCTCTCTCTTGCTGTGCTCCAGTCACACTGGGCTTGGAGTTCCATGGAAACACTTCCGCCTTGGGGCTTAGCACTGGCAGTGCTGTCAACCTGGAGTCCCTCCTCCCAGATATCTACATGGCTCACTTCCTCACCTACATGAAGTCTGTGCTCCAATGTACCTTGACATTCAGCAGAATCTAAAACCACCCCATTTGAAAGACCACTCCCCACTTTATTTCCTTTTATACTGCTCTATTTCTTTCCAGATCAATGGTCACATTTCTGACATACCATATGAATTACATATTTGTTATGTTTTTGTGTATTGTTTGTTTCCCACACCGACCTGAGTATAAGTTTGTCAACCATAGGATTTCTGTTTTGTTTACTAATGTATATCTTGAGCAACTCAAATACTATTTGGAATATTGTGCATATTACAATTTGTTGAGTAAATGAAAAACAAAGACAATACTTGATATTTATTTATCATTATTATATACACTTTTTGAGACACGGTCTCACTCTGTCGCCCAGGCTGGAGTGCAGTAGCTTGATCATGGCTGACTGCAGCCTTCACCTCCTAGGCTCCTGGGCTCAAGCGATTCTCTTGCCTCAGCCTCCCAGGTAGCTGGGACCACAGGTATGTGCTACCACACCCAGCTAATTTAATATTTATTTTAAAATATATATATCCTTGCCGGGCACGATGGCTCACTCCTGTAATCCCAGCACTTTGGGAGGCTGAGGCGGGTGGATCACAAGGTCAGGAGTTCAAGACCAGCCTGGCCAATATGGTGAAACCCCTTCTCTATTAAAAATACAAAAATTAGTTGGGCATGGTGGTGCACACCTGTAGTCCCAGCTGCTTGGGAGGCTGAGGCAGGAGAATCATTTGAACCTGGGAGGCGGAGGTTACAGTGAGCCAAGACCGCACCACTGCACTCCAGCTTGGGCAACAGAGTAAGATTCCGTCTCAAAAAAAAAAAAAGAAAAAAAATATATATATCCTTATCACTAACCCTTATTCACTCAGATTCCTGGGTCTTTGAGTTCCTAAGAAAGGCTTCAGTGACCTTAATGTAATACACATCTACTTTATTTACCTATGAAGTCCCAGATGAAGACATTCTTGTGAAAGATGCGGGCAGATTTGAACCCATGGTGGAAAACTTGCTCAAGGGCTGCAACCAGGCCATTTTCTCCACACAGCAACACGGTGAGGCTTCCTCTCTGTGGGGCATAACACACAGTGCCAAAGAAAAATCTCCTGCATCTATGTCTAAAAAAAACACTAGAGAAGCAAGTGCTGAAGGTAGCTATATGAAGCATGTTTTTACAGCTACCAGAAAGCTTACAAATGAAAATTCAAGCACCCCATATTGCCTCGTGTATCACATATAAAAGCATCTTTAAAAGTCCCACTATACTAAGTTTTATAGCCCATAAATACCTCTTTTTCAGGTTTATGAAAATGTTTCACAATATTGTTCACAGCTTCTCCAATTCCTTCTTGTATCTGCCCAGCATTGGGTTCTGTAAAATAATAAACAGTGGCTGCATTCTCATGGGAGAGAAATAAACCAAAGTACTATGGGACATCAACTGTGTCCACCTAGGCAGGAAATACGTCATCAGAGCAGGCTGGCTTTGCCAGGGGCTCCATAGAACTTGCCTCTGGCCTGTTTGGCCAAGTGGGAAGCATCCTGGCAAAATGGAAAATAATCCAAGCGATCCCTAGATTCAAATCCCAGCATTACCATCTGCAATCTATAACCCTAGCCTAGTGTCTAACTTCCTCTGAGCTTTCAGTTTCCTCAACTGAAAATAGGAAAAATACACGCCTCACTGGGAAAACTGGTAAGTTATAGGAGTAAATAACTAGCATGGCGCCTGTCACAAAATGCTAGCAAGCCCCCAAATATGAGAAGCAAGGTTGAGAAGTCCCAACATCACTCCTCAAATGTTCCCTTATGCTACCCACCTACGAGCCTGTTAGTGAAATGTTCCCTTATGCTATCTACCTACGAGCCTGTTAGTGGAATGTTCCCTTATGCTACCTACCTACAAGCCTGTCAGTGGGCATAGATTAAGGCTTCAGGCGCTCTGGATAGTTAACCTGGAGTTTGAAGATTTGCTGTTGTGTTTAAAATAAGGGGAAGATGCCAGGTACCCTGTGGCATCTGGGCCTGAAGCCCAGAACTCCCTCCCTTCCTGGCTAGTCAATCTGTCTCAGCACTGCTTCCTTCTGCCAGCCAGTACTTGCTCTTCTAGGCCACTTTCCTGAGGGACAGGTTGGTGGGCTGCTTGAATGCGACCTAAATCACTTTTGTCCACCAAACCCAAGGAATGGTTTGTTTTTTTAAAAAGGTGGTAAACATTTCAGAAGTAGGTAACAACAGAAAAGGTATATAGTTCAGATTTTCTTGTAGTTCTAATTTACTTAACACACTATAAAGGAAAACCCATACATCCTCATGTTTAAGAATCTCTGAATTCATACTGCTCAAGGATTTCTTGCATGAACATTTCTTTTTTCTTTTTTGAGATGGAGTCTCGCTCTGTCTCCTAGGCTGGAGTGCAGTGGTGCAATGTCGGCTCACTGCACCCTCCGCCTCCCAGGTTCAAGCAATTCTCCTGCCTCAGCCTCCCGTGTAGCTGGGACTACAGGTGCCGGCCACCATGCATGGCTAATTTTTTTGTATTTTTAGTAGAAATAGGGTTTTACCATATTGGTCACGCTGGTCTCGAACTCCTGACCTCAGGTGATCCGCCCACCTCAGCCTCCCAAAGTGCTGGGATTACAGGCGTAAGCCACCATGCCCGGCTAACGTTTCTTTCAGTAAAATTCAAGTAGGTTTTTTCTACACTAATGCATAAAAATTGTTAAAATGAAAACCTCTTATAATTGAAGTACTGATACCATGGCCTCTTGTTCCTAGTGGTTTCTTTACCCAGTAGTTTTTGTTTGTTTTTTTTACCTTTACCTTTCTCTATTTTTTCTTTTAGACATGAAGTCTATTTTGAAAACTGTCACCCATTCCAAAAGAGCTTTGATCAGTATTATTATAAAACTGATTTTAAAAATTTTCAGTTCTCTGAATACCATTTTACATATAACATACTGTGAGAAAATACCGTTATCCATTTCTGAGTCTTGGGTCATTTAGACTTTTCTGCTTATAGCATGAGAAAAGAAAGTACGATTAAAAAAAAATGGGGGATAAAAGCCTCTCAGATAATACCCCCATGAAATTGGACTGACTCAGATGTTATAATAATTAGGATGGATTGAGCTGAAACCTACTTTTAAATTTTAAATCAGCATAATTAAAATTCACCATGTAATAAAAGTCACCAATTTTGATGAGCTTTGACAAATGGATAGTCATGTAACCACCACCACAATCATGATACAGAACATTTCCATCATCCCCAAAAGTTACCCTGTGCTCTTTTTTTTTTTTTTTTGAGACGGAGTCTCGCTCTGTCACCCAGGCTGGAGTGCAGTGGAGCGATCTCAGGTCACTGCAAGTTCCGCCTCCCGGGTTCACGCCATTCTCCTGCCTCAGCCTCCCGAGTAGCTGGGACTATTGACACCTGCCACCATGCCCGGCTAATTTTTTGTATTTTTAGTAGAGACGGGGTTTCACCATGTTAGCCAGGATGGTCTCGATCTGCTGACCTTGTGATCCGCCCGTCTTGGCCTCCCAAAGTGCTGTATTACAGGCGTGAGCCACCGTGCCCGGCCTATCCTGTGCTCTTTTCAGTTACCTTCCTTAGCTCCTAACTCCTGGCAACCAATGATCTACTTTCTATTATTATATTGCTTTTATAGAGATCTGATATATAAACAGATATATATCACTATCTGTTTATCCTTTCACCAGTTGATGTATATTGGGGTTGTTTCCATTTTTGGCTATTATGAATAAATCTCTCAAAATATCTGGGTACAAGTCTGTGTAGATATATGTATTCATTTCTTTTGTGTACATATCTAGGAGTAAGATTGCTGGGCCAAGCGTACGGTAAGTGTGCATGTATCTTTATAAATGCCAAGATGTTATTTTGTATTCCTACTAGCAATGCATGAGCTTTCTGTTACTCCACATCCTCACCAATATTTGTTGCTATAAGTGCTTTAAATTGGTTGGGCACAGTGGCTCACGCCTGCAATCCCAGCACTCTGGGAGGTCAAGGTGGGAGGATCACCTGAGGTCAGGAGTTCAACACCAGCCTGGCCAACATGGTGAAACCCCGTCTCTACCCAAAATACAAAATTAGCCTCACGTGGCAGTGCATGCCCGTAATCCCAGCTATTTGGGAGGCTGAGGCAGGAGAATCGCTTGAACCTGGGAAGCGGAGGTTGCAGTGAGATGAGACCGCACCACTGCACTCCAGCATGGCCAACAAGAGCGAAAACTCAGTCAAAACAAAACAAAACAAAACAAAAAAACAAAAAAACTGCACTCATAGTTAATACACAATCATGTGCTAGCAAATGGATAGAGACTAATAGAAGAATCTAGGGAAACTGCTTTGTTAATAAACTAAGGACCTATTAGGTACCTTTGTTATTCTACTTGTGGTTATAATCTATAGATAAAAAGCCCCTTCACTGATAAACTTCTGTGATTTTTCCCTAAATACCGCCTCTATATTCATGTTCTGTGGCTGCCTTCTGTGGCTGCTGTAATAGACTCACAAAACTTGGTGGCTTGAGTGACAGAAATACATTTTGTTGCAGGCCAGAAGTCAAAATTTAGTTATCACTGGGCCAAAAAAAAAAAAAAAAAAAAAGCAAGGTGTCAGCAGGGCTGTATTCCCTTGAAATTCTAGGGGAAAATCCCTTCCTTGCCTCTTTTAGCTTCTGGTGGCTGTTGGCATTCCTTGTTTTTTTTTTTTTTTTTTTTTTGAGACGGAGTCTCACTCTGTTGCCCAGGCTGTAGTGCATGTAGTGCAGTGGCACGATATTGGCTTACTGCAACCTCCACCTCTCAGGTTCAAGCAATTCTCCTGTCTCAGCCTCCCAAGTAGCTAGGATTACAGGTGCACACTACCATGCCCAGCTAATTTTTGTATTTTTAGTAGAGACGGGGTTTCGCCATGTTGGTCAGGCTGGTCTTGAACTCCTGACCTCAGGTGATCCACCCACCTCAGCATAATGCCTGGCCAGCATTTGTTGTTGTTGTTGTTGTTTTTTTTTTTTTTTTTAAAGACAGAGTCATGCTTGTTTCGGCAGCACATATACTAAAAAACTGGAACAATACAGAGAAGATTATTAGCATGGCCCCTGCACGAGGATGGCAAGCAAATTGGTGAAGCATTCCATATTTTTCTCAATACTTGAATGTGGAACATATGCACAGGGGAAGGAAATAACATTGCACTTTATAAACACTGTATTGTAAGTGGAAAATGCAATGTTTTAAATAAAACTATTTAAAATTGGCACCAAAAACCCCCCCAAAAAAGACAGAGTGTCACTCTGTCACTCAAGCTGGAATACAGTGGCATGAGCTCGGCTCACTGCAACCTCACCTCTACCTCCTGGGTTCAAGCAATCCTCATGCCTCAGCCTCCTGAGGAGCTGGGATTACAGGCATGCACCACATGCCTGGTTAATTTTTGTTTTTTTAGTAGAGACGGGGTTTTGCTATGTTGGCCAGGTTGGCCTCAAACTCCTGATCTCAAGTGATCTGCCCACTTCGGCCTCCCAAAGTGTTGGGAAAGAATACATATGATGGCATTTAGGGTCCACGTAGATGTGATCCAGGACAATCTCCTATTTCAAGATCCCTATCACATCTGCAAAAATCCTTTTTCCAAATAAGGCAATATTTACAGATTCTAGAGGTTAGAATTTTATATTTTTGGGAGACATTATTTAGTCTATTAAAGCCTACATTAGTAATTTAGTCTATTAAAGCCTACATTAGTATAAATTAGAAGTTTACTATATTACTAAAAATGACACATGAACATAGTATAATATTCATAAAATTCACTCCTTTATAGTATTTTGTTTCATCCTTACTATAGGAAGAAAGTTGGGACAGAAGGGGTAGAAGGAAATTTTAATCTCTTAGAATAAGAGACACTGGGGCGGGCGTGGTGGCTCATGCCTCTAATCCCAGCACTTTCAGAAGCTAAGGCGGGTGGATCTCAAGGTCAAGAGATTGAGACCAGCCTGGCCAACATGGGGAAACCTTGTCTCTACCAAAAATATAAAAAATTAGCCAGATGTGGTGGCGGGCACCTGTAATCCCAGCTACTTGGGAGGCTGAGGCAGGAGAATCGTTTGAACCCGGGAGGCGGGGGTTGCAGTGAGCTGAGATCGCACCACTGCACTCCAGCCTGGGTGACAGAGTGAGATTCCATCTCACAAAAAAAAAAAAAAAAAAAAAAAAGGCTAGATATGGCTATCTGGGAGTACTGTAATATATAACTATTATTATTTCTCTTTTAAGTTTCAGGCAAGGCCAGGTCTGGTGGCACACGCCTGTAATGCCAGCACTTTGGGAGGCTGAGGCAGGCAGATCGCTTGAGCTCAGAAGTTCAAGACCAGCCTGGGCAACATGGCGAAAGGCAGTCTATAAAAAATACAAAAATTAGCCAGGTGTGATGTTGTGTGCCTGTAGTCCCAGCTACTTGGAAAGCTGAGGTGGGAGGATCATTTGAACCCGGGAAGCAGAGGCTGCAGTGAGCTGAGACTGTGCCACTGCATTCTAGCCTGGGTAACAGAGTGAAACCTTGTCTCAAAAAATAAAAGTTTCAGGTAAAATATTTACTCATATTTCCACAGCTTAATAAAAACAGAGCATGCAAGTTTTTTAAAAAATTAGATTTTAACATCTAAACTCTTCCGGCTTTTGAATATTTATGAATTTTCCTCAACTTTCTTCTTTTTAAAATCTCCTCACTACATTCATTAACACAACTGTTTTCTATCAAATGGTCACATGAAGCCTACATCATAGGAGCACATAAGAAAAATTTAAATAAATTTACTGTTGTTTTTTCCTGTCAGTGAAGTGATGCTCAATCTCCTAGCCGTGGTGGGTGACTTCTGCTGGGGTGGAGTCCGACACTGCTTTACTAGATCTTCATCTGATGCTGATGTCATCAACTCTCCAATAAGAATTCTCTCCAGGCTCCCATCATCAATGCCTTTCCCCAGCCACCGCCCACATGGGAATCTGGTAGGACAGAAAACAAGTTTTTTATTTTTTATTTTTTTGAGACAGGGTTCCCGCTCAGCCCCCTGAGTAGTTGAGACTACAGGTGTGCACCACCACACCTGGCTAATTTTTGTGTTTTTTATAGAGAGGTCTCATTACATTGCCCAGGCTGGTCTTGAACTCTTGGCCTCAAGTGATCCCCCCATCTCAGTCTCTCAAAGTGTGTGGATTACAGGTGTGAGCCACTGCACCCGGTCAGAATATTTTCAAACTAGAAATTAATTTGGGAGTTCAGGCACAGAAGAAAAGAGGACAATGTTTCCATAGAGTAGTGTTGGCTGTGACTAGTGGAATCCAAGAGATCTTTTCCTCCCACTGAAATTATTTTAGGCTTCTTTTTTATTTTCTTTTTTTTCTGAGAGTTATATTAATCTTTCCAACACTTGTGGACTAAGCAATAGCAGCAAACATCTGTTGTTTTAAAAAGTTTTTTGAGGCTGGGCATGGTGGCTCATGCCTGTAATCCCAGCACTTTGGGAGGCCAAGGTGGGTGGAACACTTGAGGTTAGGAGTTTGAGACCAGCCTGGCCAACATAGCAAAACCCCATCTCTACTAAAAATACAGAAATTAGCCGGGCGTGGTGGCAGGTACCTGTAATCCCAGCTACTCGGGAGGCTGAAGCACGAGAACTGCTTGAACCTGGGAGGCAGAGGTTGCAGTGAGCCGAGATTGCGCCATTGCACTCCAGCCTGGGCAACAAGAGTGAAACTCTGTCTCAGCCCAAAAAAAAAAAAAAAAAAGAGAGAGAAAGAAAAAAAAAAGTTTTTTGGGGGGCAATTTTGTATGACATAAACAAAAAAAAAATTGCCCCCCTCACCTGGAAAAAAAAACCCTAAAATTCAGAAGGCAGTGGAAGAGTTCAAACAATTCTTTTTTTTTTTTTTTTTTTTTGAGATGGAGTTTCACCTTGTTGCCCAGGCTGGAGTGCAACGGTGCAATCTCGGTTCACTGAAATCTCCCCCTCCCGGGTTCAAGCGATTCTCCTGCCTCAGCCTCCCAAGTAGCTGGGATTACAAGCGTACACCACCATGCCCTGCTAATTTTTTTTTATTTAGTAGAGATGGGGTTTCACCATGTTGGTCAGGCTGGTCTCAAACTCCTGACCTCAGGTGATCCACCCGCCTTGGCCTCTCAAAGTGCTGGGATTATAGGTGTGAGCCACTGTGCCTGGCCTACAATTCTTAAACCTTTTCTTACCTGAAGAGTCTTAAAACAAAGAATTCTGAGTTCCCAAGGCCATTTACTTACCTGTATGTATGTCCTGTGATTTCATTTCTGACCATGACACAATCCACTAGCCATTTGGCTAACAGTCCTGAGTTATCGTGACCAATCTGAACAGTGGTCAGCTTCCCCAAGTTCTGGCACTGTAGGGACAGGACCTTAGGTTATTTAGTACCCAATCCCATCCTGTTACATCTCAGCTTTACAGGTACTTTGGTTCCGTCTAATTTAACAACTGCAGAGACAAACCCTGCATAATGTATTCAGCTATGCACTAGAGAAATATATTCACATATATTCCTTGCTCTCAGGGAGCTCCCACATAATGAGATAGGAGACATATGGACATTAACTACCAAATGAGGGGCACTGCACACAGTGCTAGATTAGAGATGTAAAAAGTGCTAGAAGAACGCTGGGGAAGGAACAGTTACTTCTACTTGGGGAACCCACAAACAACACAGACAGTGACTTGTGCCTTGAAGGGTAAGAATAATTTCTAAAAACAGGAAAAAGATGCTATTTAGATTTTGTTACAAAGAGGTCAAGAAAACAATTATAGATTTTAAAAATCACTGACACTGATATTCTTTTCTTTTTTAGAAAATTTTTTGTGGGTACACAGTAGGTATATATATTTATAGGGTACATGAGATGTTGATATTTTTCTGTTCCAATAAGATACTAAGGCAGAACTGACCTCAGACCTCATATACTAGAAGTCTTTGAAGCTATTTTTTAAAAGGCATAGTTATCAATAAGTTATCTTCACTGGTCCTTTGTGGACAAGTACAAAATAAAGCAATGATAATAGGAATAGCAAAAATGAATACTAATTAAATTCTGACTTCTAAAATCTGATAATGAAAAGATCACTGACCCCAACAATGTGCTGGATGACAACATCAGAATTGTAAGTTCTTTTTTTTGGTTAATTTTAATTTTTAATTTTTATGGGTACCTAGTAGATGTGTATATTTATGGATTAATTGAGATATTTTGATATAGGCATGCAATGCCTAATAACTGTATCAGGGTAAATGGGGTGTCTGTCACCTCAAACATTTATCATTTGTGTGACAATCCAATTATACTTTTAGTTATTTTAAAATGTACAGTTAAATTATTGTTGACTATAGTCACCCTGCTGTGCTAGCAAATACTAGGTCTTATTCACTCTATTTTTTTGTACCCATTAGAGCTACGAGTTTTTTTTTTTTGTTTTTTTTTTAGACAGAGTTTCGCTCTCGTTGCCCAGGCTGGAGTGCAATGGTGCAATCTCCGCTCACCACAACCTCCGCCTCCCGGATTCAAGCGATTCTCCTGCCTCAGCCTCCCGAGAAGCTGGGATTACAGGCATGTGCCACCATGCCCGGCTAATTTTTGTGTTTTTAGTAGAGAGGGGGTTTCTTCATTTTGGTCAGGCTGGCCTCAGACTCCCGACCTCAGGTGATCCGCCTGCCTCGGCCTCCCAAAGTGCTGGGATTACAGGCGTGAGCCACTGGCCCGGCCAGAGCTACGAGTTCTTAAAGCACTTTATTCTTTGTATCTCAGTGAGAAGGCATCACCATGCTCTAACTTAGGGATGATGGCATCTTGAATTAGTTGTGCAGCAGAGATGGAAAGAAGTAGGTAGACATGAGAGAGACAGCTTAGAAATGGCAATGATGGGGGTTTTAATGTACTTTCATTATTGTTAGATGAAGAAAAGCCAAGGGTTTTAATATTTTATATACAGGTGGCTTTGAGTCTACTGCATGGATAAGGCCAAACTGGGCTCCTGGGGGCGGGAGGGCATCATGACTCTAAGTGGAAACTGCTATTTCGAGACCCCAAGGAACATGAGAATGGGACATTCAGTTCGTACCATTTCCTTCCTCAAACACAACAATTATTTGTCCTCTTCCTCCACCAAGATCAACCTGTGTACAGGCTTAACCCCATGGAACTATTTCACCAAGTAAGACTGAAAATTGACTACAATATTAAAAGGTGGCTGTTTGTTTTGTTTTGTTTTTTGAGACACAGTCTCACTCTGTCACCCAGGCTGGAGTGCAGTGGCACAATCCTGGCTCACTGCAACCTCTGTCTCCTGGGCTCAAGTGACCTCAGCCTTGCAAGTACCCAGACTACAGGTGCATGCCACCATGCCCAGCTAATTTTTGTATTTTTTGTAGAGATGGAGTCTCACCATGTTGCCCAGGCTGGTCGTCTCAAACTCCTGGGCTCAAGCAATCTGCTCACCTTGGTCTCCCAAAGTGTTGAGATTATAGGCATGAGTCACTGCGCCTGGCCAAAAGGCATTTTTATAGAATCATTCTATAAATGTCACCATGTGGTCTAAAACCAGTAAGCAGATGCTTGAACCCAGGAGGTGGAGGTTGCAACGAGTGAAGATCACACCACTGCACAGCCTGGGCGAAAGAGCAAGATTCCGTCTCAAAAAAAAAAAAAAAAAAATCCATAAGCATGAATATCAGCTCTCCTGTCCTTTTGCCAAAGGATGACCAGGTTTGGGCAGAAAACATTTTACAGTAGGGAGGAGAACCACCGCGGGGAAAACATTTATTTGAATATTTCCTGCTTGCTAGAATCTGTGCTAGACCCTGAAAATAGTAGGAGAAGACCTAGAAAGCCCCAAAGCACATCATTACAAGTGAAAAATAGAGCTTAACAATGAAAATGCAAAACAAATTAGTATATAAGCTGCTTAAGACAACTTTAGACATATAATCACAAAAATGATCCTGCACGCTTTGAGTGTTCCTCTATTTTATTTGATTCAAGGAAAAATGAAAAAGCCAGACAGAATCATCTGTAAAACTACACGTGATACATTCTTCTAGGAAAGGTATTAGCTGAACCTACCTCAAAGGTCATTTCGAGGAGGTTTTTGGGAATCTGCATTACTCCTGTGTCTCCCAGCTCTCCTGATACACAGATCCAAGGGTTTGATGTGATTATTGCATTGCTCAGCTTTTTGATTGGGATGATCACTGACCTATACGGAATCACTGAAAGAAAAATGCAGAAATTAATTAAAAAGCGGGAATAAAATTCTCCTTATAACAAAACATATATTAAGAACTCTTGTTGGTTTTCATTGATAATTTGCTTTTTATGAGCTATCAAGATGTACTTATACGAAAAGTTGAGATCATAACCTTTCAGTCTAGAAAGATGAGATCTAGTTTGCAAACCAGAAGTCTCAATACTCGTAGCAGTGGTTTTCACAGCATGTATATCATCATGTATGTATGATGCATATATCAACATTAAACGTATGAACAATCTCAAGCATTAGCACGAGAATACCTAAAGATGTGAACACTGACTGTGTATATTGTGTTTTCATTGCTTAAATTTTCTTAAAAATTAATTTTGTAACAAAATTGAATAGAAATGAACATGATTACTGATATGGTTTTATATAAAAAGAGGGGTGGATGACTTCTTGGACAGTATTGAGTTTCTTGGGCAATGCTTTAAAGCACTGCATTTCAGAACTTTCCTGTCCCAAGTTTACAGAACAATATGCAAAAACCACAAATAATAAACAATGGAACCTCCACTCTGGACATATCGTGAAGTCTATAAACCACAACTTTGAAAGCTATTAAGGTGACTCACACGCAAGAGGAGCCCAGGGAGGCTCTTCCACAGACAGACCACTAGATGTCACTGCCCTATCACTGTCCTTTGCTCAAATGTGGAAGCACGAGAGGTTAGATGTTATGCATGTCCTCCCTTCTTTTTTTTTCTTTTTTTTTTTTGCCAACATGGCAAAACCCCGTCTCTACTAACAGTACAAAAATTAGCCGGGTGTGGTGGCAGGCGCCTGAAATCCCAGCTACTTGGGAAGCTCAGGCAGGAGAATCACTTGAACCCGGGAGGCAGAGGTTGCAGTGAGCTGAGATTGCACCACTGCATTCCAGCCTGGGCAACAGAGTGAGACTCTGCCTCAGAAAAAAAAAAGAAAGAAAAAAGAAAACGGCTGGATGTGGTGGCCTGTAATCCTAGCACTTTGGGAGGCCGAGGTGGGTGGATCACAAGGTCAGGAGCTTGAGACCAGGCTGACCAACACGGTGAAACCCCGTCTCTACTAAAAATACAAAAATTAGCCAGGTGTGGTGGCACACACCTGTAATCCCAGCTACTCAGGAGGCTGAGGCAGGAGAATCGCTTGAACCCGGGAGGCAGAGGTTGCAGCGAGCCGAGATTGTGCCATTGCACTCCAGCCTGGGCAACAGGAGTGAAACTCCATCTCCAAAAAAAAAAAAAAAAAAAAAAAAAAAGTGCAGACAGGGCCAGGCACGGGGGCTCATGTCTGTAATCCTACCTAGCACCTTGGAAGGCTGAGGTGGGCAGATCACTTGCGCTCAGGAGTTCATGACCAGCCTGGGCAACAAAGTGAGACCTTGTCTCTATACAAAATAAAAAACATAATTAGCCAGGTCTGGTGGTACACACTTGTAGTCCCAGCTACTCAGGAGGATGAGGAGGGGGGATCCCTTGAGCCAGGGAGGTCAAGGATGCAGTGAACTCTGATCCCACCACTGCACTCCAGCCTGGGCAACACAGCGAGACCCTATCTCAAAACAAAAAGGGGGCAGATGGTTTAAGCACATAAGCATTTTTGTCCATCACAGCCATACATTTCTGGTTTTTTGTTTGTTGGTTTTCTAGAGACAGGATGTAGCTCTGTCGCCCAGTCTGAAGTGCAGCAGCCCAATCAGTGTTCACTGCAGCCCTGATCTCTGGGGCTCAAGCAATCCTCCCATCTCAGCCTCCCCAGCAGTTGGGACTACAGGTGCACGCTACCACACCTGGCTAACTTTATTTATTTAGAGTTTCACTCTTGTCGCTCAGGCTGGAGTGTAGTGGCACATTCTTGGCTCACTGCAACCTCTGCCTCCTGGATTCAAGTGATTCTCCAGCCTCGGCCTCCCAAGTAGCTGGGATTACAGGCGTCTGCCACCTCGCCCAGCTAATTTTTGTACTTTTAGTAGAGAAGGGGTTTTGACATATTGGCCAGGCTGGTCTCGAACTCCTGAACTCAGGTGATCCACCGGCCTCAACCTCCCAAAGTGTTGGGATTCCAGGCATAAGCCACCGCGTCCGACCTCTAGCTTTTTTTTTTTTTTTTTGAGACAGAGTTTTGCTCTTGTGGCCCAGGCTGGAGTGCAATGGCATGATCTCGGCTCACTGCAACCTCTGCCTCCCGGGCTCAAGCGATTCTCCTGCCTCAGCCTCCTGAGTAGCTGGGATTACAACTGCACACCACCACGGCCAGCTATTTTTTGTATTTTTAGTAGAGATGCGGTTTCACCATGTTGACCAGGATGGTCTCGAACTCCTGACCTCAGGTGATCTGCTCACCTCGGCCTCCCAAAGTGCTGGGATTACAGGCATGAGCCACCGTGCCCGGCCCCTAGCTAACTTTTTAATTGTTCTTTTGTTGAGACAGCATGTCACTATTTTGCCCAGGCTAGTCTTGAACTGGACTCAAGCGATCTTTTTGCCTTGGCCTCTCAAAGTGCTGGAACTCCAGGCATGAGCCACTGCACCTGGCCTGATTGTAAAATTTTAAAGTTTTTTTTTTTTGAGACACGGTCTCGCTCTGTCACCCAGGGTAGAGTGCAGTGGCACGATCTCAAGCTTACTGCAATCTCCACCTCCTGGGCTCAAGTGATCCTCCCACCTCGGCCTCCCCAGTAGCTGGGACCAGAGGTGTGCACCACTACGCCCAGCTATTTTTTTGTAGTTTTAGTAGAGGCAGGGTTTTGCCATGTTGCCCAGGCTGGTCTCAAACTCCTAAGCTCAAGAGATCTGCCTGCCTTGGCCTCCCAAAGTGTTAAGACTACCGGCATGAGCCACCTGCCATGTATGTATGTATGTATGTATGTATGTATGTATGTATGTATGTATGTATTTTTGAGGCAGAGTTTCACTCTATCTCCCAGGCTGGAGTGCAGTGGTGCAATCTCAGCTCACTGCAACCTCTGCCGCCCGGGTTCAAGTGATTCTCCTGCCTTAGCCTCCCAAGTAGTTGGGATTACGGGGGCTTGCCACCGTGCCCAGCTAATTTTTGTACTTTTAGCAGAGACGGGGTTTTATCATCTTGGCCAGGCTGGTCTTGAACTCCTGACCACGTGATTCACCCACCAAGGCCTCCCAAAGTGCTGGGATTACAGGTGTGAGCCATCGCACCTGGCCACTATTTATTTATTTTTTGAGAAGAAGTCTTGTTCTGATGCCCAGGCTCGAGTGCAGTGGGGCGATTTCAGCTCACTGCAACCTCCGCCTCCCGGGTTCAAGCGATTCTCCTACCTCAGTCTCTGGAGTAGCTGGGATTACAGGTGTGCGCCCACCATGCCCAGCTAATTTTTGTACTTTTAGTAGAGACAGGGTTTCCCCATGTTGGCCAGGCTGGTCTTGACCTCCTGACCTCAGGTGATCCGCCACCTCGGCCTCCAAAAGTGCTAGGATTACAGGTGTGAGCCACCATGCCCAGCCATTTTTTTTTTTAAGTAGGGTAGAATCAATATTTGTTGTTATCCTTGGGATTTCTGCCCATTTGATCATAAGAGGGGGTGTTAGAAGCCCTCCGTGAAAGATCTACAAGTAGGATGAAAAACATTTACTAAAGAAGGTGCCTAGATATAGCCTCACAATATGAGCTCATGGTTCAGTGCACTCTTAGATGAGGAAAACAAATGAGATAAATGGTTCATTTCCCTAATTTTACATAAAAGACTTTCTTTATGTTAGGTGAAGAGTCTCCCTTTGTGTCCTTTTATTTTGGCTTTAGGATAGGAAAATGTCAGAGAAAAGGCCATATATTCACGGTTTAGTAATCATCAGAATCAAATGGGTTTTGAAACTGAAAGCAGAAGAGGTTAGTGTTAAGACTTTATTTTAGGTGCCAGAGGCTTTTCTCATTTCTTGCACTGCTAAGAAAATCTGCAGAAAAAGGCATGTTTAGGGTCAGCAGTTCTGTGGCTGCAAAAGGCCCACAGATGCACAACAGTGATTTCATAGTTTAAGTATGAAAAAGCAATATGATTAAATTTAAAAATTTCTTTCATGAAGAATTCCTCAAATTGAAAGAGTTACTCAGATGAAGAGAAATCTACAGATATAAGGAGGATTTTAGGAATCCTCTACTGCTACTACTTCTTACTTATTTAGAGACAGTCTCAACCTGTCACCCAGGCTGGAGGGCAGTGGTGTGATCTTGGCTCACTGCAACCTCTGCCTCCCGGGTTCAAGTGATTCTCCCACATCAGCCTCCTGAGTAGGTGGGACTAAAGCAAGCGCCACCACGTCCGGCTAATTTTTGTATTTTTTGGTAGAGATGAGGTTTCACCATGTTGGCCACGTCAGTCTCGAACTCCTGACCTCATGTGATCCACCCGCCTTGGCCTCCCAAGGTGCTGGCATTACAGGTGTGAGCCACTGTGCCTGGCCTCTTCGATTTAATTAAATTAATTAATTAATTTATTTATTTATTTATTTTGAGACGGAGTCTCGCTCTGTCGCCCAGGCTGGAGTGCAGTGGCGCAATCTCGGCTGACTGCAACCTCCGCCTCCCGGGTTCAAGCAATTCTCCTACCTCAGCCTCCTGAGTAGCTGGGATTACAGGCGCCCACCACCACACCCAGCTAATTTTTGTATTTTTAGTAGAGACGGGGTTTCACCATGTTGGTCAGGCTGGTCTCTAACCCCTGCCCTTGTGATCCAACTGCCTTGGCCTCCCAAAGCGCTGGGATTACAGGCTTGAGCCACCGCGCCCGGCCCAATTTTAAAACTGTATATAACTTTTTAGTTTCTTACACCTGCAGTAACCTAATCAACGAATAGTAACTTGACAGGCATTACAGGATGGCCTAATCCCCATTCCAATTCCCTTTTCCTTTGTCTTCCGTTACCAGAGACTGGAAAGCCAAAACCTACACAATTCTGGCCAGTGAAATGTTAGTGATATTTATTGAGATTTTTTGGAAAATTATGTCTTTCTAGCACAGATCCTGCCCCTCCTTGGCACTCTCTCCTTCCTGCTGGAAGGTATGCTGAGAACAGCCATGTTGAAACCATGAGGTAACTAGCACACACAGAGCATGTCTAACAGGAAAAAGACAATGAGCCTGGGTCCGTGACAGCACTGCCCACTGCCTACTTTGAGACCTTTATTATGTAAGTGAAATTACTATGCTGTAAACCACTGGTTTTCAAGTTTCTGATACTTGCAGCTAAATGCAATTCCTAATTGATACAAGTAAAAATTCTCCAAAGTAAGGAAGAGGACCCACTGCAAATAAGAATTAGCAATGAAGGAAAGAATAAATGCTATCATTCGGCTTTCTATAAAAAATACATCTCTTGGACAGGCTCAGTGGCTCACACCTGTAATCCTAGCACATTGGGAGGTTGAGGCGGATGGATCACCTGAGGTCAGGAGTTTGAGACCAGCCTGGCCAACATGGTGAAACCCTGTCTCCACTAAAAACACAAAAATTAGCCGGGCATGGTGACATATGCCTATATACAGATGTGTGATTTGGGAGGCTAAGGCAGGAGAATCGCTTGATCCCAGGGGACGGAGGTTGCAGTGAGCTGAGATTCCACCACTGCACTCCAGCCTAGGTGACAGAGCCAGACACCATCTCAAAAAAACCAAAAACAATAACAACAACAAAAACAACAAAATCTCCAGGTCCAGCGTGGTGGCTCATGCCTGTAATCCCAGCACTTTGGGAGGCTGAGGCAGGTGGGTCACTTGAGGTCAGGAGTTCGAGACCAGCCTGGCCAACATGGTGAAACCCCATCTCTACTAAAAATACAAAAATTAGCCGGGTGTGGTGGGGCGTGCCTGTAATTCCAGCTACTCAGGAGGCTGAGGCACAAGAATTCCTTGAACCCAGGAGGTGGAGGCTGCGGTGAGCTGAGATCGTGCCACTGCACTCCAGCCTGGGTGATGGAGTGAGACTCTATCAAAAAAAAAAAAAAAAAAAAAAAAAAATTCTCCAATCAGCATTTCCTTCCAAAGTTGAATGATGTCCAATTGCATAAGTTTATTATTAACACACAGATACTTTGATTTTATGTGTTTTCGTTAAGATATTGAAATATTTACTTAATAAAACATTCCTTTTCTCATCTATTGTAGGTAACATTTCCTATCAAAGACTGGGTTTCTTGGGAAGAAATCTCTGAGTCAGAAATTAGCATGGACAATGCTGCTCCTGGGACCAACATGTGAGAAGGAAAGCAGGATTGGTTAAGCAAGATGTTAAGCTTCGATGCAGTCTCAATGAAATCCTCATCTATCTAACCCCCATGGTGAGCTCCGGGACAGCCCTTTGTTCAGTCATGGGATGCTGGCTGGAACTGACAGAAGGTATCATCTCCAGTGAGGTACTTTTCTTCAGTAAGGCGTTCTCTAAAGCCTGACAGCCAAGGGTTTCCTGTAGCACTCTTAGCATTTGGGGAATATCCTTTACTCCTAAACAGAGACCTGGGCGTATGTCACAATGTCACATGTACTATGGCATATCTTGCTTTAAAAAATATAAATGCTTTTATTGCATTGGTCACCTCAGTAACCCTTAACGGTCAATTCTCTAGACTTACTGATAGTGGTGAACACACTGGTGAAGCAGAAATAGTCCACAGCATTGAGAGAAAGAAGGTGGTAAAGAAACTGCTCTCTTTCTTCTTCGCAACGTAGAAAAGCATATCGCTTATAAAGCTTCCTAGGAAAGGGTAAGACAAGCACAAGACAGTAGTATCAAAGAAAAAAAAAAAAAACCAAGACAGTAGTATCATGTACTTTTCATTATGTCTTTTTTTTTTTTTTTTTTTTTTAAACAGAGTTTCTCTCTTGTTGCCCAGGCTGGAGTGCAATGGTGCAATCTCAGCTCACTGCAAACTCTGCCTCCTGGGTTCAAGTGATTCTCCTGCCTCAGCCTCATGAGTAGCTGGGATTACAGGCATGTGCCACCACGCCAGGCTAATTTTTGTATTTTTAGTAGGGATGGGGTTTCACCATGTTGGCCAGGCTGGTCTCCAACTCCTGACCTCAGGTGATCCATCTGCCTCGGCCTCCCAAAGTGCTGGGATTACAGGCATGAGCCACCATGCCCGGCCATTTTTTTTCTTTTGTTTCTTTCCCATTATGTCTTTTTTCCAGGATGGGGTCTCGCTATATTGCCCAGGCTGGTCTTGAACTCTTGGACTCAAGAAATCCTCCTGCCTCAGTCTCCCAAAATGTTGGGATTATAGGCATGAGCCACTGGGGCTGGCCCTCATTAAGCCTTGACTAAAAATAAATAGCTCCTCTTAGACAAACACCTTTAATCTTGAAAAAATAGATTCATTCTATTTCAATTCATAAAAATGGATATATAAACAGTTAATAAAACACTTTTAACCTAATAATTAAGGAAAAAATGCATCTATTTTATCTATCAAACTAATAAAGACTTAAAAGTGATGACCAGTGTTGACAAGGAAGAAATGAATGCCATTCTCACAGTTGGTGAGACTGAAAATTTCAGGAAAGCAATTCAGGTAACAATTACTTTAAACCAATCATACCCCTTGACTCATCAATTTTACTTTTAGGATTCAGTCCTAAAGAAACAGATGAAATGGGGCAAAGATTTCATTAAACACTTACATTTAAGCACTTTCCCAAGTGTTTTATAGGTATTAATACATTTAATTCTCACTCTATGAGGTAAGTCTATTAGTGCCTTTTTATTATTTATTTATTTATTTATTTTTCTTGAGATGAGGTCTCGTTCTATAACCCAGGTTGCTGGAGTGCAGCGATGCAGTAACAGCTCGCTGCAGCCTTGACCTCCTGGGCTTGAGTGTGCCTCCCACCTCAGCCTCCCAAGCTGCTGGGACCACAGGTGCACGCTACCACACTCAACTAATTTTTTATTTTTAGTAGAGATGGGGTCTCACTATATTGCCCAGGCTGGTCTTGAACTCCCAGGCTCAAGCAATCCTCCCACTTTGGCCTCTCAAAGTGCTGGGATTACAGGAGTGAGCCACCACACCCAGCCTAGTGTCATTTTACAGATGGGGAAAAGAGAGATACAGGAAAGTTAAATATTTTGTCCGAGGTCATTCAAACACTAACTAGAGAAGGCAATATTTGAACACAAGCATTCAGACTTCAGATTTTAAACTCTTCTGATACGGTGAAATGTTTATGGTACACTGTTAAGCTAATAAAAAGGATGATATTGAATCGCACATATAGTGTATCTTAATAAGAGAACATGCATAGAAGAAAAGTACAGAAGAAAATGTGAAATACTTAGTGTTCTTTATATAGCAGGATTGTAAGTGATTATCATTTTCCTCTTTGTACTTTGGCCACTATGAGCATAAATCACTTTTTTTTTTTTTTTTTGAGACAGTTTTGCTCTTATTGCCCAGGCTAGAGTGCAATGGCACGATCTTGGCTCACCGCAACCTCTCGTCTCCCAGGCTCAAGCGATTCTCCTGCCTCAGCCTCCAAGTAGCTGGGATTACAGGCATGTGCCACCACGCCTGGCTAATTTTGTATTTTTAGTAGAGATGGGGTTTCTCTACGTTGGTCAGGCTAGTCTCGAACTCCTGATCTCTGGTGATCCACCCGCCTCGGCCTCCCAAACTGTAGGATTACAGCCATGAGCCAACACGCCCGGCCTTTTTTTTTTTTTTTTTTTTTTTGAGACAGAGTCTCGCTTTGTTACCAGGCTGGATGGAGTGCAGTGGCGCGATCTCGGCTCACTGCAACTTCCGCCTCCTGGGTTCAAGTGATTCTCCTGCCTCTGCCTCCCAAGTAGCTGGGATTATAGGCATGCGCCACGACACCCAGCTAATTTTTGTATTTTTAGTAGAGACGGGGTTTCACCATGTTAGCCAGGATGGTCTCGATCTCCTGACCTCATGATCTGCCTGCCTCGGCCTCCCAAAGTGCTGGGATTACAGGTGTGAGCCACTGCGCCCAGCCAATAACTTTTTGTAATTGGAAAAAAAAACCACGCCAGTTTTAAGAAAACAAGGTCAGATTCACAGGCTATATGCAACACTTCATGCTTTATCAAACCTACTGTTTGGACATTAAAACTCATCTGAAAATGCTCCAGGGGGTATGTAATCCAAGTGTGATATATACAAATACAAAACTACAAAAAGCACTGGAACTCTAATAGGCTATCTTGTTTGAGGTCTTTGTTGAATTCTCTGCCTAACTTTGCTCCTTAGAAGTCAAAGTCCTTAGCCTTCAAATTAGCACTAATGTAAATATAAGGGCAATATATTTCATCCAAGACAGCTTCTTTTTTTTGTTTTTGTTTTTTGAGACAGGGTCTCGCTCTGTTGCCCAAGCTGGAGTGCAGTGGCCCAATACTGGCTCAAATGATTCTCCTGATTCAGCCTCCAAGTAGCTGGGATTACAGGTGCCTGCCACCATGCCCGGTTAATTTTTTTATTTTTTGTAGAGACAGGGTTGTGCCATGTTGGCCAGGCTGGTCTCGAACTCCTGACCTCAAGTGATCTGCCCACCTTGGCCTCCCAAAGTGTTGGGATTACAGGTGTGAGCCACTGCACCTGACCTCGAAGAGGGTTTCTTGATAGAGTAAACAGAAGAAATTAAAAGTTAACAATTAATTGACATGTACTTGACTGGTTTCCCGGCTCTAAACCAGTGGTTCCCAACCTTTTTGGCGCCAGGGACCTGTTTCATGGAAGATAATGTTCCCATGGCTGTCGCAGGGGCTGGGGAGGGGGAGGTGGATTCAGAATAAAATTGTTGCACCTCATATCATCAGTCATTAGAGTCTCATAAGGAGCACATAACCTAGATCCCTCACATGCGCAGTTCACAATAGGGTTTATGCTCCTTTGAGAATCTAATGCTGCTGATCTGACAGGAGGCGGAGCTTAGGCGGTAATGCTTGCTTGCCCTCGGCTCATCTCCTGCTGTGCAGCCCTGGTTCCTAACAGACCACAGACCAGTACTGGTCCATGGCCCAAGGGCTGGGAACCCTTGCCCTAAACTAGTGAATGCAAGGCTCTCAGAAGAAGCCCTTTACTGGGACCTCCTCACAGAACTTTATTATTTCTTTCTTTTTTTACTCCAGGTTTTATCTGTATACAACCTGTATACAGGTTTTACAATATAAGGTTTATACAAAATAATATAAGGTTTATATAAATTCATCCGATCTTTTGGATGTTACTGTCAGCTTGTGTGAACTAGCCAGCTTTTTGCCTGATTCTGGCAGAGCAATCCGGCCTTTTTTTTTTGAGATGGTCTTGCACTGTCGCCCAGACTGGAGCGCAGTGACATGATCTCAGCTCACTGCAACCTCCACCTCCCAAGTTCAAGTGATTCTCCTGCCTCAGCCTCCTGAATAGCCATGACTACAGGTGTGCGGCACCATGCCCTGCTAACTTATTTTTTGTAGAGACGGGGTTTCACCATGTTACCCAGGCTGGTCTTGAATTCCTGGACTCAAGTGATCCTCCCACCTTGGCCTCCCAAAATGTTAGGATTACAGGCAATGGCCACCATGCCCAACTGCAATCTGGCCTTTGGCTGTTAAATTTGGTGTGTCCCCCCAAAACGATCAAGTATTACATCAAAACAGTTTTCAAAGCACACGCCTGTTAGATAAAGAAGAATGCATGTGCACAGGATACAGCACTTCATACTGAAGAAGCCAGTTTGTCAGTTTATGCAACTTGTTTTGTATGCACATGGATTATAGAAACAGAAATGTATCAAAGATGGTATCTTACTTGGTGAGTGGTTGGTTAGAAAGCAACTGCTTAAGATGCTGGGACAAGAGCTTCTTTTCTAGAGACAGTCTTATCCACGCCCGAGCTCGTCCAACATCAGTCTTGATCTCACTCATGTTTTGAATATGCCTAAAGAATAGTGGCAACAGCAAAGATGTAGATTTTAAGGATAACCCTGACTAGAAAAGAAGTAAAGAGTGAACAGTACTGGGCACAGAAAGGTTTATACTTAAAGGGAGCAATGGATAATATACAATTGATGTTGATTAAATCTTTGAAGGTTCCATCTGAATCATGAAGTTAGTCTCACATCATAATTGCCATTACAACACAAGCACACGGACAATGTGGTAAGATAAAGCATTTAACACTTATTCACTCTTTCAGGCTTTATTATGTCCTTGTGGCAGACTCATAGATATCTGTAAATAAGAATTTGGTTATTCCTGATGCTCCAAAAAAAGTAATGAAACAGGGTGAATACTCAAGTTTCTTTTCAAAATAACTGTTCTATAGCATAATTAAATATCAGTCACAACTTTAATCCACTGAATTACTTTTCAAGTTGCACTGGACAACATATGGAAAATATGAAATCTTACTTTCTATGGCATTAGAGAAAATAAGCCAGACTGCATTGATAATCTTTAATTGTTTAATTATTTTAAATATTTTAAAATACAGGGTCTTGCTATGTTGCCCAGGCTGGTCTCAATCTCTTGGTCTCAAATGATCCTCTTCCCTCAGCCTCCCAAAGTGCATGACCCACTGCACTTGGATCTTATGACACTGCTTTAAACCCATACATTGTAAGAGTTGACTAAGTATTGTACCTAAAATATTTAAAAGATAAAAGCCTCTGCCTTCCTCATTCAATAAATCTGTGTTAGATATCTTGAAGTCTTCTAAAGATTTCTTAACAGTAATTCCAAGTGATGATTCTCAGATATGTATTTGCTTCAAACTAAATCTACCTGATTGCAATTGTTCTGCCACATATCCTGCCATTATTTGCAGAATTTTTCTTCTGTACCTTCTTCGGTGGGCAGAGGTGTTTAAGGGAGTTTTAAAAACTGAACAAAAGAAGCTATAAAATAGTTTAGGACGGGCACAATGGCTCACGTCTGTAATCCCAGCCCTTTGGGAGGCCGAGGCGGGAGAATCACTTGAGCCCAGGAGTTTGAGGCCAGCCTGGGCAATTTAAGACCCCATCTCGGCCGGGCACAGTGGCTCGCGCCTGTAATCCCAGCACTTTGGACGGCTGAGGCAGGTGGATCATGAGGTCAGATCGAGACCATCCTGGCTAACATGGTAAAACCCTGTCGCTACTAAAAATACAAAAAATTCGCCAGGAATGGTGGCGCATGCCTGTGCTACTCAGGAGGCTGAGGCAGAAGAATTGCTTGAACCCGGGAGACAGAGGTTGCAGTGAGCTGAGATCACGACACTGCACTCCAGCCTGGGCAACAGAATGAGACGCCATCTCAAAAAAAAAAAAAAAGCCCCTGTCTCTACTAAAAATCAAAAAAATTAGCTGGGTATGGTGGCAGGTGCCTGTAATTCTAGCGACTTGGGAGGCTGAGGCAGAAGGATTGCTTGAGCCTGGGAAGTTGAGGCTGCAGGGAGTGGTGATTGCACCACCGAATTCCAGCCTGGGTGACAAAGCAAGACCCTGTCGCAAAAGTAAAATAAAATAAAAAAATTTAGAGATGCTTTAAAACTCTTCTCAGCTGCATCTTCCATTTGGATTTAATGTCAGGAAACACTACAATGGTATAAAAATAAGATAAATGAAATCATAAAAAATGCTTTCTTCAGAATACATAAGCCAAAAATAAACACAGCCATAATCATTTGAGCAATTTAGTTAAAAGCCACAAAATACTTCAAAGTTATCACCACATGCTAACACATGTATTAATAACAAATACCTCATGTCCTGAATAAGAGAGACCCTGAGCGTTGGCAACATAACTCCTGAGTCAGATTTTCTTCTTTCTGGTCCGAGGGCAACTATGTAGAAAAATATCAACAAAATATTAGAAAAGTAATAAAAAATATACATGGTTCATATTAAATACTTTGAAACTGCTTCGATAAGAACAAATTTTAACAATATATATCATCTAGCCCAAAATGTCAAAAAACAAATTTTAAAGAAAATAGGGTCTTGCTCTGTCACTGAGCTTGGAGTGCAGTTTGCAGTGGCATGATCGTGGCTCACTGCAGCCTCAACCTCCTGGGCTCAAGCGATCCTCCCAACTTAGCCCTGTCCAGAGTAACTGGGATTACAGGTGTGCACCACCACACATGGCTCATTTTTAAAATTTTTTGTAGAGACGGGGTCTCCCTATGTTGCCCAGGCTGGGCTATATTATTAACACAGTAAATCAGCTATTTTCTTTTCTTTTTTTTTTGAGATGGAGTTTCGCTCTTGTTCTCTAGGCTGGAGTGCAATGGCACGATCTCAGCTCACCGCAACCTCCACCTCCCAGGTCCAAGCCATTCTCCCGCCTCAGTCTCCCGAGTAGCTGGGATTACAGGCATGCACCACCACACCTGGCTAATTTTTTGTATTTTTAGGAGAGACAGGGTTTCTCCATGTTGGTCAGGCTGGTCTTGAACTCCCGATCTGAGGTGATCCGCCTGCCTCGGCCTCCCAAAGTGCTGGAATTACAAGCGTGAGCCACCGTGCCCAGACCCAGCTATTTTCTTTCTATGTAATCTGGAACTGCTTTTGGAAATTTTAAATGAATCACAAAAGACTACCTAGCAAACAATGCAATGTGTACAAATTTTGGCCATAAGGACCAGGCACTTTTTTTTGTATTTTTTTTTTTAAATATAGTCTTGCTCTGTTGCTCTGTTGCCAGGCTGAAGTGCAGTGGCGTGATCTTGGCTCACTGCAACCTCCGCCTCCTGAGTTCAAGCAATTCTCATGCCTCAGCCTCCCGAGTAGCTGGGACTACAGGAGTGCGCCACCACGCCCAGCTAATTTTTGTATTTTTTAGTAGAGACGGGGTTTCACCATGTTGGCCAGCTGGTCTCGAACTCCTTAACTCAAGTGATCTGCCCGCCTTGGCCTCCCAAAGTGCTGGGATTACAGGTGTTAGCCACCATGCCTGGCCAGTTACTTTCTAGTTACTTGTTCTAATAGCTCTAGATAATTACACATGAAAGCAATGTATATAAATTAAGCTACTAAAAAATGTGAAACATCTCTGGGCTCATGAACTGAAGTCACACAATTAAACTCTTGAGTGTTTGAAAAAAAATCTAAGCTGTGTACGGTGGCTCACTCCTGTAATCCCAACACTTTGGGAGGCCAAGGCAGGAGGATTACTTGAGCCCAGGAGTTCAAGACCAGCCTGGGAAACATAGGGAGACCAGCCTGGACTACACAGAAAGACCCCGTTTTTGCAAATAATTATATGGGTTTGGACAATGGGAAGCTAAATATATATATGTCTTTTTTTTTTTAATTAGCTTTTTTTTTTTTTTTTAAATCAGCTGAGCATGGTGGTGTTCACCTGTAGCACCAGTTGCTTGGGAGGCTGAGGTTGGGAGGATCATCTGAGCCCACCACTGCACTCCAGCCTGGGCAACAGAATGAGACTGTCTCTGAAAAAAAAAAAAAAAGGCCAGGCGCTGTGGCTCACACCTGTAATCCCAGCACTTTGGGAGGCCGAGGCGGGCGGATCATGAGGTCAGGAGATCGAGACCACCCTGGCTAACACGGTGAAACCCCATCTCTACTAAAAAATACAAAAAATTAGCTGGGCGTGGTGGTGGGCGCCTGTAGTCCCAGCTACTCGGGAGGCTGAGGCAAGACAATGGCATGAACCCGGGATGCAGAGTTTGCAGTGAGCCAAGATCATGCCACTGCACTCCAGCCTGGGTGACAGAGCAAGACTCTGTCTCAAAAAAAAAAAAAAAAAAAAAAAAATCTAAGATTTCGGACTCTTCAATCTGATAAGTTTCTACCTTAAAGTTCAGAGTCCAAACTACAGTAATTACAGCATGCAAAGTGAGTAATCTAAATAGACACTAAGTATAATGTCCATGAGTATTCTCTTATGAAGCCTGAATAGCTAACATTTATTTAAGAATAGCTAACATTTATGAAAGCTAACAATTATGGGATTACAGGTGCGTGCCACCACACCTGGCTAATTTTTGTATTTTTTGTAGAGACGGGGTTTTGTCTCTTATGTATGAAAGAAGAAAGATTATTCTCATATAGCAACGGCTAAGCAAACATCTATTGGCTAATATATTGTAGTTGCAGTGTTTGGTCTCGTGCTCAATGAGATGCCATGGAGTTTAGGCCTTTCATTTCTATCTTCCCATCTATAAATAAAAATGAAATTCCAACATCATACTCAGCAAATACACCTATATAAGTAGAACTTAGAATGTGAATTTTTGCTGTATATTAAACCTGCCATTTTCTCAGGTTTTAGATTCATTCTACTTTGGGGGGCTGGGATACAATACCAAAACACATAAATATATATGAAGTTGGCACTAAAGGAAGATAGGGAACATTTTGGTGTATTCGGATCCCTATGCTTTTGACACTAGCAGGTATAAATGAGTACTGATGGGGTTGCCAGAAGGAAGAGGTTGTGGCCAGTCCAATCTAAAAGCACTACTTTCAAGGGCCTTCCATACCATGTGGATGATAAATAGGACATTTGTTGTGGCGATTTTGGGAGGGAGTTTCAATGGGGCACTAGACCCATTCATCTTGACACCCAAGAGGTAATAAATGCTGAAGAAATTGTTCCAGACTTGCAGGGAATGTGTTACATGTTATTAAAGAAAGCATATCTTTTTTTCTTTTCTTTTTTTTTTTTTTTTGAGATAGGGTCTCACTCTTGTCGCCCAGGCTGGAGTGCAGTGGCATGATCTCGGCTCACTGCAGCCTCCACCTCCGGGCTAAGCGATCCTCCAACCTCAGCTTCTTGATAGCTGGGATTACAGGTGCATGCCACCACACCTGGCTAATTTTTGTGTGTTTTTTTTTTGTAGAGACGGGGTTTTGTCTCTATGTTTATGTTGCCCAGGCTGGACTCAAACTCTTGGACTCAAGCGATCTGCCTGCCTCGGCCTCCCAAAGTGCTGGGATTATAGGCATGAGCCATCACACCCGGCCACAGCTTTCTTTTTGAGGACAAAGTGAGATGGCTCAGAGAAGGCCTCTACACTCCAGATGATTAGACAGAATGAAAGATGGCCACACAGGCGGTAAGAAATAGGTTGACAGAGGAAAAAAGGGGAGTTGAAACCATAATTAACAAGTTGGCTAGAGGGAGACACGACAACCAGAAGTAATCATGCCTCTTAAACTAGAGAACAAGTGAGAAACTTCATTTTAAATAATAGAGATGGGGGTCTCACTATGTTGCCCAGGCTGGTCTCAAACGCCTGGCTCAAGGAATCCTCCCACCTTGGCCTCCTAAAGTGCTGGAATTACATGTGCGAGCCAGTGTGCCTGGCAATTCCTGTTGTTTAAACCACACAGTTTGTGGTACTCTATTATGGCAGCCCTAGGAAATGAATGCAGTAATTTATTAGTGACTCTGGAGAGAAGAGTTTAAAAGCCTGTGAGCAGAGGGCAAATTAGGGGTTAGGAAATGGAACCACTTCTTTTATCTAGAGACCTAAAATCTAAGAAGGTTTCCATGAATCCTACTCCAGCTAGAAGAGAATTTTATAAACTATGTAAATGTATACTTCCATTACTATTTCTTAATTGAAAATACTCAAACAATAGGCCACTTTCTCCTTCAAAATAAAGATTCATGGATTTAATTCTTGGCTACGAGAATTTGCTCATCTGCCTGAATCAAACTACAAAAATAGCCAGATGTGGTGGCGCATGCCTGTAATTCCAGTTACTTGGGAGGCAGAGGCAGGAGAATCTCTTGAACTCGGGAGGTTGCAGTGGGCCGAAATCATGCCATTGCATCCAGTCTTGGCAACAAGAGCGAGCGAAACTCCATCTCCAAAAAAAAAAAAAGAATGAACACAAGTTAAACATTTTATTTATTTTCTATTTGGAGTGGTGAATTTTATAAATGTAGCACAGACAGCACGTTTGTAGAGGGCAGGGACTGTATGTTTCTACAGTACCATGTACAGTCTATAGGTAGGTAAGTAATTAATAGATAATTTCTGATGAAGATAAGATGAAGAGTGACTCAAAATTCCTGGGTTAGATCCAGAATAACCACTTAAAAGCAGCATTTCTGGCCAGGCACAGTGGCTTACACCTGTAATCCCAGCACTTTGGGAGGCTGAGGCGGGTGGATCACCTGAGGTCAGGAGTTTGAGACCAGCCTGGCCAACATGGTGAACTCTGTTTCTACTAAAAATAGAAAAATTCACCAGGTGTGGTGGCACACGCCTGTAATCCCAGCTATTCAGGAGGCTGAGGCAGGAGAATCGCTTGAACCCAGGAAGTGGAGGTTGCAGTGAGCCAAGACTGCGCCATTGCACTCTAGCCTGGGCAACAAGAGCGAAACTCCATCTCAGAAAAAAAAAAAAAAAAAAAAGGAAAAAAGGCAGCATTTCCACTCCCTTCAGTGGAAGGGCTCTACACCTACCCCCTGCCAAAATCCATTTCCAGTTTAGTAGAACCTTGTCTGAAGGTGCAAAGTTTAAGAACTGGCTCAACGTTTTTATTTATTATTATTATTTTTTGGAGACAGGGTCTTGCTCTGTCACCCAAGCTAGAGTGCAGTGGTGGGATCACAGCACTCACTGTAGCCTCAACCCCCTGGGCTCAAGTGATCCTCCCACCTCAGCCTCCCAAGCATCTGGGACCACAAGCATGTGTCACTATACCTGGCTAATTAAGAAAAATAAATTTTTTTTGTAGAGACTGGGTCTCACTATGTTACCTCAGCTGGTCTCAAACTCCTGGGCTCAAGTGATCCTTCCACCTTGGCCTCCCAAAGTGTTGGGATTACAGAACTGGGTCACCATATCCAGCCTCCCAACAATTTTTTTTTTTTTTTTGAGACAGCATCTTGCTCTGTTGCCCAAGCTGGAGTGCAATGGCGTGATCTTGGCTCACTGCAACCTCTGCCTCCTGGGTTCAAGAGATACTCATGCCTCAGCCTCCTGAATAGTTGGGATTACAGGTGTGCACCACCATACCTGGCTGACTTTTATATTTTTAGTAGAGACGGGGTTTCACCATGTTGGCCAGGCTGGTGTTGAACTTCTGGCCTCAAGTAATTTGTCCTCCTTGAGCTCCCACAGTGCTGGAATTACAGGCATGAGCCACCACACTCAGTCCTCCCAACGAATTTAAAGGTTAAAACTTTTGAGTGATATGTCAAGAACAGTCTTTGTTCTAGGACCAATTGTATTCTGAACTTCTTTCTCTGAAATAGGATTTCAAACTACTAGGTGCAGTGATCACTAGATCAAAATTAATACTGCCTACCCACTATGGTCCCTATCTTTCCATTCCTCTGCAACTCTTAAAATGTCTCTGACTCCTGTTTAGTGCTGCTTCTGAAGACTCATGATAATAATCCAGCATCTAGTCTCATCATGATTCAGTGCTAGTAAGAATAATGTTCAAACCCATCAAAATTTTTTTTTGTTTTTGACATGGAGTCTCACTTCATTGCCCAGGCTGGAGTACAGCGGAGCAGTCTTGGCTCAATGCAACCTCCATCTTCCAGGTTCAAGCGATTCACCTGCTTCACCCTCCTGAGTAGCTGGGATTACAGACACCTGCCACCCATGCCTGGCTAATTTTTGTATTTTTAGTAGAGAGTGGGTTTCATCATGTTGGCCAGGCTGGTCTCCAACTCTTGATCTCAAGTGACCCATCCACCTAGGCCTCCCAAAGTGCTAGGATTACAGGCATGAGCCACCGTGCCCAGCCCATCATAAATCTTTAAGGATCTTTCCTAAATATGACAATGCAGACTGTTTATTGCCATTCATTAGGAAGCTTAATAATTGGCAAAAAAAGTATTTGGTGGAAAACCAGATTTTAAAAACTTAATTTTTGCATAATTACAACTTATTACTTAAGAATGAGAGATTTCAATTTAAACTGATGTTTTAATACATATTTCATATTCCTATAAATATACATCTTTTCTGAGAAGGAGTCTTGCTCTGTTGCCCAGGCTGGCATGCAGTGGCGCAATCTTGGCTCACTGCAACCTCTGCCTCCCAGGTTCAAGCGATTCTCCTGACTCAGTCTCCTGAGTAGCTGGGATTACAGATGCCCACCACCATGCCCGGCTAATTTTTTTTAATTTTTAGTAGAAACAGGGTTTCACCATATTGACCAGGCTGGTCTTGAACTCCTGATCTCAGGTGATCCGCCTGCCTTGCCCTCCCAAAGTGTTGGGATTACAGGCGTTGAGTCAACATGCCTGGCCTCATTACTATTTTTTTAACAGAAAAACTGGCAGAGAAGATGGACACTAGAGAATGCTTTTAAACTTGATCTGAATCTTTATAAATATAGTTACAGCCAAGGACAACAGAACCTTGGCATTCTGATTACAGGAGCTCCAGGGCAATGTAGTCAGCTTATATTCCTAGCTGTCTGATTAAATACATTTAAACACTAGGTTTCTAACAATAAATACTACATTTAGGATAGTGTTGCCCTCTAGGGGCAGTGAGGGAAAAGAAATTAGGATGAATAAAAGGGTCTTTAAGGTCAGGCACGGTGGCTCACTCCTGTAATCCCAGCACTTTGGGAGGCCGAGGCGGGTGGATCACGAGGTTAGGAAATCGAGACCATCCTGGCTAACACAGTGAAACCCCGTCTCTACTAAAAATCCAAAAAAAAAAAAAAAAAATAGCTGGGCGTGCTCACGGGCACCTGTAGTCCCAGCTACTCGGGAGGCTGAGGCAGGAGAATGGCATGAACCCGGGAGGTGGAGCTTGCAGTGAGCCGAGATCGCGCCACTGCATTCCAGCCTGGGCGACACAGCGAGACTGTGTCTCAAAAATAAAAATTAAAAAAAAAAATAGCCGGGCATGGGATATGCACCTGTAATCCCAGCTACTCAGGAGGCTGAGGCAGGAGAATCACTTGAACCTGGGAGGCAGAGGTTGCAGTGAGCCGAGATCGTACCACTGTACTCCAACCTGGGTGACAAGATCGAGACTCCATCTAAAACATTTCTGAATGTCCAAAGTCATCCATACTTTTTGAAAAGGTTCCGAAATGGCTGATTCAGTATAAAGCAATTTTATCTCAATTAGCTTCCCATAGTTACTTCTACTTTTTTGTGAAATAAATGGTTATTTTACATAAAGAAAAGCATGTGTTGTTGTGAAAAATACACAGTAGGTAGAACACTTAGCTTAAAAAATCCTACATAATTAGCTAAAAAATTATGACACTTCTAACATGTTATATTTTCTATAAATTGAAGAGAGATTCAACTCCTGAAATTTTTGAGACATATGTACATATTTTCTCCCTGAAAGATCATTAATGATGGTTATAAAAACTTTTTTTTTTTTTTTTGAGATGGAGTCTTGCTCTGTCACCCAGGCTGTAGTGCAGTGGCGCCTTCTCGGCTCACTGCAACCTTTGCCTCCCGGGTTCAAGCGATTCTCCTGCCTCAGCCTCCCCAGTAGCTGGGACTACAGGCACCTGCCACCACGCCCAGGTAATTTTTGCATTTTTTGTAGAGATGGGGTTTCACCGTGTTGGCCAGGCTGGTCTCAAACTCCTAACCTCAGGTGATCTGCCCACCTTGGCCTCCTAAAGTGGTGGGATTACAGGTGTGAGCCACCGTGCCTAGCATAAAACTTGTAAGAAAAAAAAAAATTCTAATGCTAGTGAGAGTAATGTATCCTTGTATGGCCATTTACAATTCATTGGGGGTTTTCACATGATACCTTATTTGATCAGCATGACCGTTCTAGCCTAGGTAATCTCATTTTTCCTATTTTATAGATGACGAAGCAGGACTTCAGAAAGGGCAAGTAACTTTTCCCAGGTCTCACAGTTAGTAAGTAATATTGCTCCTTCTACTTTATCCCATTATTGGCAAAATGAGTAAATTTTAGCTTGAGAGAGAAAGAGATCAAGACAAGGCCAAATAGTATTGAGTCTTCTCAGAGTCCAGTGCTGCTAGTTCTTTACCAATGATGTCATACCTGGTGATTCTGCAAGGTGCTCTTGTTTCTCTTCTCTGTCCTGAAATTGAATTAAATGTGACCACAAAGCCGACTTCCCCTGAAAGTACAAGATGTGTAAAAATTTCATAAGAAATAATTCATCAAAAAATAATTTCTCATCCAAATCATTCATATTCCAATAGCCATTTAGAAGTCTGGTGACCCAAGCTCACTCATTCCTAGTTGTATGACATTCTGAGCATCTTCTGCATGTATCATAAAGGTCATCCTGTACCTCACTGACAAGACTACCAAGAGCCTGGGAAAAGGAAGCAGCTAAGCAAAGGGCCAGCATGGCAGGCAGAAGATTTCTGATGTCTGCTAGGTTGTTACTTGGTTGTATGTAATTAGGGCTGTCTACATGGGCTACATTAGTAACCATGGAATTAAAATGCTCTAGCAGCACAGAATGTACTTGTGTACATCTACATGTAAAATATGTTTGGATATATGGAGTGGCGATAAGAGAAAAAAATCGAGGTGAGAGGAGAAAGAGAAAAAGGGAAGAAGAAAGAAACATGCACACATCAGAAAAAAATCAGAAAGGGAGACTAGAGAGACAAAAGCAAAGAGACCATTTGAATGATTTCACCCTGAATTATTAGATAACTTAAAATGGTAAGGAACTGTTAATTCTGGACAGTGACAAAGGCAAACATTTAATGGAACTTACTAGGGATACAGCCTCTGCAATGATGTGCTATTTCATCCTTTCCCGCTTAGCAGGAAAGAGCCCAAACCACCTCCTGCTCATGGGTTATATTTTCTTTTTCTGAAATTAAAATGCCTGTGGCATTTTTCTAGTCCCCTTGTGACAAAAGAGCCTATTTTTTTTTAATGACATATTTGTCTCCTTGTTACATTTCTTAACAGGGCTCTTAACTGGCCATGTCACCAGGACCTCCTAAAACTGTTACCTGCTTGACCTGCAAGCCATGGCTCCATATCCTCTCCAGCAGGTCACAAAGGCTGGCGATCAAGGTGTTCTCCTCCAGGCCGGTGATGTTTGCTTCTCCATGGCCAAGTTCCACCGCTTCATGTCCCATCTTCTCCACCAACATGCGCTTTGTCTAAGAATATCACGTGTAGTCATAAGGCACCCCAGCAGTGAAACCAAAAACCAACAAGTCAATTACTAAAGTAGGAGACTTGGTTTCCCTTCATTATACTTCTATTTGCAGATTTGTAATCACCTTGGGAAAAAAATCTCTTAATCTTGATGTTCAACTAACTGGACTAATATAATTTATATGTCACTATTTTGTCAGAAAAATGGAGTGTGACTAAAGAGAATATAAGATAATATTTGTAAGGCATCCCCATGTTGAAAAGATGCTTATATACAACAGTTGTCAAATTATTAACTTCTGTGATATTGGGGAATTACAGCAGACTTAGAAAATGTACTGTCAGGGCTGGGCATGGTGGCTCACACCTGTAATCCCAGCACTTTGGGAGGCCCAGGCAAGTGGATCACCTGGGGTCAGGAGTTCGAGACCAGCCTGGCCAACATGGTGAAACCCTGTCTCCACTAAAAATACAAGTTAGCCGGGCAGTAGTGGCACACGCCTGTAATCCCAGTTATTTGGGAGGCTGAGGCAGAAGAATTGCTTGAACCCAGGAGGTAGAGGTTGCAGTGAGCTGAGATCACATGCCACTGCACTCCAGCCCGCTGCGTGATAGAGCGAGACTCTGTCTCAAAAAACAAGAAACAATAAAAAAAGAAAATGTACTGTCAGAATATGGAACCCCATCCTGCCACCACAACTTGCCCTATCACTGCCCCAGCATCTTAGCATACTAAAGATTCTTGCACTTAGTTTGATTGCACTTAGGTAAAAACCAGAATACAAATGGGCAGCTCTAAATTTTTTGAGAACTCTAATTTGTGAATGAACCAGGACTTTACTTCTCCTTTTTTATCTTTTCTTTGTTCATCAAGCATGCACCAAAAAATGGAAAGAAAATGGAAATCAGTTTCATGTAAGTTAATTTGCATCAGTCTTAGTAGCTTTTATAAAATGTAAAATGAGAGAGAATCTAGCTCTTTTAGGCAAGAACTTTAATTCACCACTATATACTGATGCTGAAAATAGTAGTACATTTATTGAATATGCAGAGAAGGTACTCAAGAAATGACTGTCAAATAAATAAATAAAATCATTAGCTAAAATGATGTTTTAAGTTTTGTCAATTTGTACTGCTACCTCCAATAAACACAGGTTTCTGAGAGGAGAACGTTGTGCAATATACACAAACCTACAACACAGCTAAGGTATTTTTCCTTATGGGGACAAAAACCATGTACAGGCACAAATAAGGTTGTACACAGGTGCATACACAGACACAAAAGTGTTGCCTTTCACATAAGATGACAACATTCCTGACGCAAATTATGAGTGGCTTAAGACATCCGTTCATGTTGGTGAGGAGGAGAGCAATGTCTGAAAAGGTGAGAAAAATGGTAGAAGGCTCTCATGTCATTGATTCTGTGGGGAATGAAGAACCCATGGAGGTTCAATACCCGAGTAAAGAGCACATGAGGTCAATGCCACAGTAAAAGTTTTCTTCTAGCAAAATTACATGCTTAAATGGGGGTTAACTCAGTTCATCTTAGCCTCACACATGGTGTAAACATGAATGCACACTGTCTGGCATCAGTGAATAATACATACCTTCATTCTACATTCTTTTAATAAGCCTTCTACGAATTTACAGTTGGTCTGTGCAATAACTGCAGGAGAGAGGTCTGACAGTTTGGGTTGCCTCAGGTTTTTTCCTAAACTTCGTGCCTCTTGCATATATTTCTAAAAAATCAAGGAGTATTTTTAATGCGTAAACATTAGCTATTCTTCTAATCTTCTTAACCTTATACAAACAAGTGCAGAGACAAATGAAATGCAAAAAAGTCCGTAAGTGTATGTGCATATAACAACAATTAATGTTTTAGTGTACTAAAAGACAGAGGACACTCATATGCCACCCCATAACAACTGTTAACTCCTGTGAGAAGTAAAGTGACAGAAACCCCATCACGTTAAAACTCATTCAAAGTGAGATGACATTTCATTTCATTTAGTCTTTTTATTGGGAATACAAAAGGTTGTGAAGTCAGGACTGTGGTTGGGACAAAAAAATTTAGGTGTTTAGATCACAAATCCAAGGTTCTGCAGGAGCCCAGCTGTTCTCAGATCACTGATTTCCTCCACTCCTTTCCCCATACAGTAAGACTTAACATACCTCTAGCCTCCTGGGCAGTGCTCTCCAATCTAACCCTTTGCTCTATAATCAAGTCACAACAGTAAAATCAGGAGCTTTCGAATCTGGTTGTAACTAATTTTATGACTCAGGTGTTATCAACTAATGTTTGTGCATCTCAGCTTGTTAAATGGGCATAAAACATGCCCCCCTACCTCCCCAAAAGGCTATAGGATCACTCTGAAAAGCACGATGTGCTCCAAGTGAAGGTGGCCTCTTTCTGTGATGTTTTTGCTAAAGCCCTACCTTGCCTTGTTCTATAATCAAGAGAAAGTGAATTACAGTGTTACTTTTGGGGTTTGTGGTAACTCTAAGGTATCACAGAAACTTAACCAAATGCTCTTGAGCTTTGGTTAGTGAATTTCTATTAAAAAAATCACTACATGTGTTTAGTGCAAGACATGTGCTCTCTCTCTTCTTTCTATGCTGTCTATAAAAGTTCATCCAGAGGCCAGGCGGTGGCTCACGTCTGTAATCCCAGCACTTTGGGAAGCCGAGGTGGGTGGATCACCAGAGGTCAGGAGCACGTGACCAGCCTGGCCAACATGGTTAAAACCCCATCTCTACTAAAAATACAAAAATTAGCCACGCGTGGTGGTGGACGTCTGTAATCCCAGCTACTCGGGAGGCTGAGGCAGAAGAATCGCTTGAACCTGGGAGGCGGAGATTGCAGTGAGTGGAGATGGCGTCACTGCACTCCAGCCTGGGCAACTGAGCAAGACTCCATCTCAAAAAAAAAAAAAAATCATCTGGATACCTTATGTTTACATCAGGATCACAGGGCAGAATTTTCCAAAAAGTCCAAGTGACTTAGGACCATATTTAGAGAATAACTGCTCTACATTATATAGTAAAAGTAGCAGTTTATTGGCTGGTAGTGGGGGGCAGCATGGAGACTGAGACGGCAAGCCAGCACATCCTCCCACGGGCACATATGTGAAATCTATCCTTACTATCTTCAGAGGAGAGCTTGATATTATAAAAGAAGATGTGTAAAATCCTTTGCATTCTTTAAAAAAGAGAGTTTGTACATTTAATATATTTCTCCTTTGGAAGAAAATAATCTGCTAAGTCTGGTACAAATAAAAAAAATCCCACTGATTAGGGATTCCACTAATCTGTTTACCTGCTACCTCCCAACCTTTGTGACGAAAGGCAAAATTAACAAAATAATGTTTTTTTCCAGTCCAATCATTTTAACAGTTGTCTCTAATTCTCAATTTTCTCTTATTTCTTTGACCCTCTTAAAAATGTTTGAAGCAGAGGCCAGGCATTCGAGACCAGCCTGGCCAACATGGTGAAACGCCATCTCTACTAAAAATACAAAAATGTGGCGGGTGCCTGTAATCCCAGCTACTCGGGAGGCTGAGGCAGGAGAATTGCTTGAACCTGGGAGGCGGACGTTGCAATGAGCCAAGATCGTGCCATCGCACTCCAGCCTAGGTGACAAAAGCAAGACTCCATCTCAAAAAAAAAAAAATGTTTGCAGCAGAAAGAAGTATACATAAATGTTATGAGAACTGCAGAGTTTATTTTTATTTTTTGAGACGGAATCTCGATCTGTCACCCAGGCTGAACAGCAGTGGTGCAATCTCAACTAACTGCTACCTCTGCCTCCCAGGTGCAAGCAATTCTCCTGCCTCAGCCTCCTGAGTAGCTGGGATTACAGGCACGCGCCACCATGCCCAGCTAATTTTTGTATTTTTTTTTGAGACGGAGTCTCGCTCTGTCACCCAGGCTGGAGTGCAATGGCTTGATCTCGGCTCACTGCAACCTCCGCCTTCCAGGTTCAAGTGATTTTCCTGCCTCAGCGTCCTGAGTAGCTGGGATTACAGGTGCACATCCCATGCCCGGCTAATTATTTATTTATTTTTGAGACGGAGTCTCCCTGTGTCGCCCAGGCTGGAGTGCAGTGGCGCGATCTCGGCTCACTGCAAGCTCCGCCTCCTGGTTTCACACCATTCTCCTGCCTCAGCCTCCCAAGTAGCTGGGACTACAGGCGTCTGCCACCACACCCGGCTATTTTTTTGTATTTTTAGTAGAGACAGGGTTTCACTGTGTTAGCCAGGATGGTCTCAATCTCCTGACCTCGTGATCCACCCGCCTCGGCCTCCCAAAGTGCTGGGATTACAGGTGTGAGCCACTGCACCCGGCCACGCCCGGCTAATTTTTATATTTTTAAGAGACGGGGTTTCATCATGTTGGTCAGGCTGGTCTCAAACTCCTGACCCTGTGATCCGCCCACCTCGGCCTCCCAAAGTGCTGAGATTACAGGCGTGAGCCACCACGCCCGGCTGTAATTTTTGTATTTTCAGTAGAGACAGGGTTTCACTATGTTGGTCAGGCTGGTCTCAAACTCCTGACCTCGTGATCTGCCCGCCTTGGCCTCCCAAAGTGCTGGGATTACATGCATGAGCCACCCTGCCCAGCGAGTTTATTTGATTTTTAAAATCTATCAACCATTACCAGCAGAGAAGTCAAATGTAACAAGGTCTATATAAATGGTCTGAAGGTTAGTTTTTATTTATTTATTATTATTATTTTTTTTCTTGAGACGAAGTCTCGTTCTGTCACCCAGGCTGGAGTGCAGTGGCTCGGTCTTGGCTCACCACAAACTCCGCCTCCTGGGTTCAAGCAGTTCTCCTGCCTCAGCCTCTCGAGTAGCTAGGATTACAGGTGCTGGCCACCACACCTGGCTAATTTTTATATTTTTAGTAGAGACGGGGTTTCGCCATGTTGGCCAGGCTGGTCTCAAATTCCTGACCTCAAGTGATCCACTCAACTTGGCCTCCCAAAGTGCTGGGATTACAGGTGTAAGCCACCACGCCCTGCCTGGTTTTTTTTGTTTTAAAACAGAGTCTCACTCTGTTGCCCAGGCTGTAATGCAGTGGTGCAATCTTGGCTCACTGTAACCTCCACCTCCTGGGTTCAACTGATTCTCCTGCCTCAGCCTCCCAAGTAGCTGGCATTATAGGCGCGTGCTACAACACCTGGCTAATTTTTGTATTTTCAGTACAGATGGGGTTTCACC
The DNA here is from genome assembly GCF_000001405.40 of Homo sapiens. Lineage (NCBI taxonomy): Eukaryota > Metazoa > Chordata > Mammalia > Primates > Hominidae > Homo > Homo sapiens. The sequence continues at coordinate 31,429,907 of NC_000012.12, forward strand.
ATGTTGGCCAGGCTGGTCTCGAACTCCCGATCTCAAATGATCTCCCCACCTCAGCCTCCCAAACTGTTGGGATTATAGGTGTGAGCCACCGCCCAGCCTGAATACTTTTTTGTTTGTTTGGTTTTTGTTTTTTTGAGACAGAGTCTTGGTCTGCTGCCCAGGCTGGAGTGCAGCGGCATGATCTCAGCTCACTGCAGCCTCCGCCTCCCAGGTTCAAGCAATTTTCCTGCCTCAGCCTCCTGAGTAGCTGGGATTACAGGCACATGCCACCACACCCGGCTAGTTTTTGTATTTTTAGCAGAGGCGGGGTTTCACCATGTTGGCCAGGCTGGACTCGAACTCTTGTTCTCAAGTGATCCGCCCGCCTCGTCCTCCCAAAGTGCTGGGATTAAAGGTGTAAGCCACTGCGCCTGGCCCCTGAATACTTTTTAAAGTCAATTACTGGATTAAAAATTAACCACTGTCGGCTGGTCAAGGTTGCTCACACCTGTAATCCCAGCACTTTGGGAGGCCAAGGTGGGAGGATCACAAGGTCAAGAGATCGAGACCATCCTGGCCAACATGGTGAAACCCCGTCTCTACTAAAAATACAAAAAAAAAAAAAAAAAAAAAAAAAAATTAGGTGGGCGTGGTACGTGCCTGTAGTCCCAGCTACTTGGGAGGCCTAGGCAGGAAGATCAGGAGGTGGAGGTTGCAGTGAGCCAAGATCACGCCACTGCATTCCAGCCTGGCGACAGAGGGAGACTCCGTCTCAAAAACAAACAAAAAATTAAGCACTGTTTAAAGTTTATGTCCTGTTTTATATAAAGGAAAACAAGCTAGACGGTGGCTGTCCTATGAGTGACCAATTTACTGAGCCCCCAGTACATATGGGGCAGGTACAGTTATTAGCCAACAGTGGATTCCATAGGGCCATGTGCAAAGTCTCCTTCTGGGCATCTCTGCTGGAGCCATAGAAATAGCAACATTCCATGGACATGCACAGAAAGGATACAGGGGGCGGCAAAAGGCCTCTCTTCACAGCAAGAAGGGAGGCTGCCTCTGCAAATTGCAAAAACAGAGCAACTGCCTTTAAAATAAACAAGTGATGATAAAAATAACATCTGGAGGAAAAAACATATTTCAAGATGAAAAATATAGGAGAGAGACTTTTCACAAGAAATGCTTTTATAATACAGTCTAGAAGTAACCCCAGATTTCTTCTGAGATTACTACTGTGCTCTTCTTTATTTCTGCTTAAGACAAATGAAACAAACCACTAGGAACTACCTATGAAAATATATCCTATTATTCAATAAACACTGAACTAACTGCTCTTTAATACAGGCTCTCCCAGAATTTTCTAGTAAACGCCCTAGCCCTTTACAAGTTGGTGTTCAACTTGTGAAGAGAAGACCATTGTAAAATAGATTTAAGCTAGTATGACATAATGGGGGAAAACTATAAGCAAGATTTCTAAGTTGCTTGTTGCCTCAAGTGAACAGTGGTTAGTGCAAGCTGGCATGCAGGGTAAATGGAAAGAATATTGGCCTAGAAGTCAGGAGTCTTGGGCTATAGGTCCAGCTCTGTCTTTGTGTGCTTTTAACTCTGGGCTAATCTCTTGGACTTCAATTTAATCATGTCAAATTGGACAAGATGACCTTAAAGATTCCTCTTGGCACTGAGATTCTATGTTGATGACTGAATTTTCTGACCACATAAAATACAGACCAGGAAGGGGAAATTAAAATTCTGTGGAGATAAAACCCAGCAAAAGAAAGGCTATTTGAAATTCAATCACATCTGTACTTCTGGAAAACGCTTAAATAAAGGGGAGTTTGTATATTTAATACATTTCCCCCTTTGAAGTAAGGCAATTTGCTATCTAGCACACAAAAAAAATCCCACTGATTAGAGACCCAAATGATTAGTTTTACATGTCAGCAGCATAGAATTACTCATATTAGCACACACAAACACAGAAAGGGACTAAACATAACAAGAAGCAGAGAGCAAAATGGGGAGTGTGAGTTCACATCTCAAGGTCATGTGAGGCATTCTAGAGCTATGTGCACTCACACATGTGTAACATTCAAGTAACACCAAAGACAAGATTGGGGGAACATCTGGTAAAGCACTTTCAAGCAAAGAACATACCAGGCAGCACTCAGAGAAGGATTTTTTAGGAAGTCGTGCAGGAGGAGGTGGACCCTGGTCCCACTCCCAGAATGCCATGGAGTTCTGACAGACCAAAAGTTCCCCGGAAGGCTAAGAGGATGGAGAAATGCCAATGACAGGAAAGCAAAAAAGAAAAGGATAGGGAGAAAGAGACAAGCAGAACAAGCATGCATATGATAAAATCACAGCAAAAGAGAGGGAAGGGAAGAAAATACAGTAGCCGGAAAAAAAAAAGCACTACACAGGTGATGCCTCAGTTCTTAATAAAATGTTTAAAATCATATATGTATGAACACAACAAAAACAAGAGATGTTTGGGATGATGTTTTCTGCTTTATTTTTACAAATTTGATACTAGAAAACAGTTAACAAGTCTTCTGATTGCATTTCTCTTTTGATCATAAGAAACGAAACAATCAGGCTGGGCATGGCAGCTCACACCTGTAATCCCAATACTTTGGGAGGCTGAGGCAGGAGCACTGCTTGAGCCCAGGAGTTCAAGACCTGGGCAACATAGCAAGACACTATATATATATGCAGATTTCACACAGAAAAAAATCAAAACTTACTTGTTGTATAATTATGGTCTTATTTTCAAAGAGTACAAATAAAAGTGTAAGGATCTTAATTTAAAAATAGTTTTAAAACACTTTCAAAAATATAAAGTAGATTTAGAGATTCAAGAAAAAAAACTGGTGCCAGCAAGCCAAGAACAAAGCATAGGCAAGTACATCACACTACTCCTTATAATTATGCTTGAAACTTAGAAATGTCTAGGCTTCTCATGCAGACAATTTTTCTCCTATAGGAGACATAGTAACTAAAAATTTATCCTCAACTTGATCTTTACTTGATGTAATACACAGAAAGACTTGTTTTAGAGCCTTATTATAGATGTCTTGAAATTACAAAAATGGAAAAAAGGGTGTTTTCTGCTATATGTCCGTACAAAAGGATTAATATTTTAAACTATAACTAAACAGTTTTTTTTTTAAAGAACATTAAGAATCTACACAATGACATCTGCTGGAAGGAATAAGCCTAGTTCATGGCGCTTGCTGTGAGGCACCCCAGGAAGGTAGACCACATACCTCCCTCAAGTCGTTGTCCAGCCCAACATGCTCAGAATGCTGGCGAAGGCGTTCTTTCCTGCGCTGTGCAGTGGCACTCCGACTTACCCAGCGACTGAAACAATCAAATTATTTAAAAATGTGTTCCTTATCTTTAAAATAGAAAGCATTAACCATTCAACACAAAAGACTGACACACACATTTTAAAATCAATTATTTAAAAAATATATAGCAGCTTTGTTAAAATATAATTAAAATACCATACTATGCACCCATTTAAAACATACAACCAAACGGTTTTTAGTATCTTTCCAGATATGTGCTGTCATCACCACAATCAGAATTTTTAAAAACTGAGGTCAAAAAGGCACAGTATCAATACACTTTAGATACTTACATACATAACAATAAGTCAAATCTTAACCGAGTTAGTCCTTGATTATATTGACATATAATAGTAATGCCTTGACTTGCTCAAAGTAAATATTATGAATATTTTTTAATACAAAGAATATTCTCAAAACCCATAATTTAGAATTACTTAATTCTAGCGTCCTAAAAGAATAGAAATGTATGAAGCTTCCAACCTTTTAAGGAAAGATTTCTATCCAACTTGACTAGTTGCAATGGCTTACACCTGTAATCCTAGCACTTTGGCCGGATCACTTGAGGCCAGTAGTTCGAGACCAGCCTAGGCAACATAGTGAGACTGTCTCTACAAAAAATTTAAAAAATTAGCCTCCTTAGCTACTTGGGAGGCTGAAGTGGGAAGATAATTTGAGCCCAGGAGTTTGGGGCCGCAGTGTGCCACGACTGCACTCCTGCATTCCAGCCTGGATGACAGTGATATCCCATCTCAAGATAAATAGAAAGATTCAAACTCATAAGAGTGAGTCCTCATCTGTAAAGTCTAAGGGTTGTACTCAAAGACCACTGTGATTCCTTTTTGCTCTAAAATTTCATGACTGTGTTTCTGAAGTGATAGCTTGTGTTTATCAGTTTTAGAAAATATTTATAATATAAACTCAGTATCAAAATATGCAGGACAAATGAGTTTAAAATAAAACCTGAGCTCTTTTCCAAGGCCTATAAAACTCTTAAATATAAAGACCTCTGCTTCATTCTCTCTGATCTTATATCACTTCTCCCCTAATTACTATGTTCCAGTATAGTAACCTCCATTCTGTTTCTAAATGATTGATAAAATCAGTGCTAGTTCTATAATAATCTTCTCTGCTACTAAACTGCTGGTATCGAAACTGCCTTTCAGATGAGATCAGGTGCGTTCAAGGTGGTATGGCCGAAGATGTAAGTTGCCTTCCAGCTCAAATACCTTTGTTTTTGGTTAATAATGATTCAACTCATGTGCCCTAGACCCAGACCTGCCCTGGATGATATGAGGGGCTTAAAAATATATAATGTTTCCCTTATTCAAAGGTCCTTTTGTCGCCAGCCTAGCTACCTACAGGCTCCAGCTTAGTGTGTAAGACTCAACCATCCAGCGATTATCCTTAATCACTCCTTTCTATCATCTTCATTCAGTGAAGAATTTGGAACCTGGCTCAGTTTTCTTTTCTTCCCTGCTATGGGAAGTACAAAGACTATATAGATAACTTTGTCTTAAAATTCTGGGGTCGTCTAACATGCAACTTCACCTCCACTCAGCTTTAGACGCAACCAGGACATCACACTAAATCAAATGGTCATCCAGAACTCCTCTCCAAATCCAATGGTCATCCAGAACTCCTCTACCTCAGAAATCCTGAACTCCACCATCTTAGCCACTGACCCCCATCTCCCATTACATTAGCTCTTCCATGCCTTGACTCTCACTTAAGACCCCTGGTGCTTTCTCGTCTTTCTGTTATGAACATAAATTCTGCGGAAAGCCACCTAAACTACTCCCATTCTAGCACTCTCTCCTCTGTAATAATCCTCTACTTCCCTCCTTACCTGCCCACCAGAGCCCCAAACCCCGGATGAAGACTATCCCCTCACTTCCCTATTCCCGTACCCACACAGACTAGTTCCCAATTTCTCTCACGACTACCCATGAATCACTTCACCTGCCTTTTATCAACTCTTCCCCATTCTCCTCAAAGACTACTGCAAACTCTTCACCCTCAGGTACCCTTGCCTCCTTCTTCCTGCCCTCTACTTAGACAATACACACACATAAACATCCTCATCTTTCTTCTAATCTCAAAGTATAAAATACATTAGCCAAGGCTCAAAACTGTGTCTTCCACTTGCATCCTTGACCAATTCTCCCGTCTTTTCAACCCGCTCCATTAGTCACCTCCTTTGCTGTATCGCCAATCTTTTTCTCAGTGGAATCTCTTCAGCTGACAAGCATGTTGGTCTCCCTCGTGGCCCTCTGTAGTCATGTTAACATCTGTTTCTTCACACCTCTGATGTAAAAATTCTTAAAATATTTAGATGTAAGACTTCTACTTATTTACGTTTGGATCTTCAGTTCATTTCAAATCATCTACTTCCCTTGAAAACGCTTTTTAAATTTTGTTTTAGTTTGTTTGTTTGTTTGAGACGGAGTCTTGTTCTGTCGCCCAGGCTGGAGTACAGTGGCAAGACCTCGGCTCACTGCAACCTCCACCTCCTGGGTTCAAGTGATTCTCCTGCCTCAGTCTCCCGAATAGCTGGGATCACAGGTGCACACCACCACACCCGGCTAATTTTTGTATTTTTAGTAGAGATGGGGTTTCACCATGTTGGCCAGGCTGGTCTCGAACTCCTGACCTTCATGTGATCCGCCCACCTCGGCCTCCCAAGTAGGTGGGATTACAGGTGCAAGCCACCAATGCTCAGCTAATTTTTGTATTTTTTGTAGAGACAGGGTTTTACCATGTTGCCTAGATCAGTCTTGAACTCCTGAGCTTAATGCGATCTGCCTGTCTCAGCCTCCCAAAGTGCCGGGATTACAGGTGTGTCTGTTCCCAGCTGCCTAAAGCCCCCCCACTTTTTTTTTTTGAGACGGAGTCTCAGGCTACCACCCAGGCTGGAGTGCAGTGGCGTGATCTCACTGCAACCTCCGTCTCCCGGGTTCAAGTGATTCTCCTGCCTCAGCCTCCCAAGTAGCTGGGACTACAGGTATGTGCCACCAAACCCAGCTAATTTTAGTATTGTTTAGTAGAGACAGGGTTTCATTATGTTGGCCAGGCTGGTCTCGAACTCCTGACCTCAAGTGATCTGCCCGCCTCGGCCTCCCAAAGTGCTGGGATTACAGGCATGAGCTACCGTGCCCAATCCTAAAAATCCTCTTGATGAAGCCACTGAAACCCCTAACTGCCAAATCCAATGGCTATTATTTGATCCTTAGCTTACTCAAAACCTCTTCTACATTTAGTACTGCTGATCGCTCTTTCTACTTTTAAGCTCCTGCAATTTTCTTTTTTTTTGGAGATAGAGTTTTGCTCTTGTCACCCAGGCTGGAGTGCAATGCCGCAATCTCAGCTCACGGCAACCTCTGCCTCCCAGGTTCAAGCAATTCTCCTGCCTCAGCCTTCCAAGCAGCTGGGATTACAGGCATGTGCCAACATGCCCAGCTAAGTTTTGTATTTTTAGTGGAGACGGGGTTTCACCATGTTGGCCAGGCTGGTCTGGAACTCCTGAGCTCAGGTGATCCGCCCGCCTCAGCCTCCCAAAGTGCTGGGATTACAGACGTGAGTCACTGCGCCCGACCCAGCTCCTGCAATTTTCAACCTCAGTGTTTCCAATGAAATAAGTTCTGTCACCTCTGAGCCTTTGTCCATGAAGTTTTCTCCCAACTTTCATTCACCTTTCAGATAGATTAGAGGCCACTGCTTCCAGAAAGTGTTCTATGACTCTTTCAAATCTAAGTTAGCTACCCATCCTGTACGCCTCAATTATAGTATCTATCACAGAGTATTATAGTTACTTATCTCCATTTTCTATAAAATCTCCTCTAGAAGGGCCAGTATCTTGTCTGTCAGCCATCTTACTGGCAAAGTCTACTATAGCACCTGCCCCCCCCTTTTTTTTTTTTTTGAGACGGAGTCTCACTCTGTCGTCCAGGCTGGAATGCAGTGGCACAATCTTGGCTCACTGCAAGCTCTGCCTCCCGGGTTCATGCCATTCTCCTGCCTCAGCCTCCCGAGTAGCTGGGACTACAGGCACCCGCCAGGCTAATTTTTTGTATTTTTAGTAGAGACGGGGTTTCACTGTGTTAGCCAGGATGGTCTCGATCTCCTGACCTCGTGATCCTCTGGCCTCGGCCTCCCAAAGTGCTGGGATTACAGGCGTGAACCACCATGCCTGGCCATCATCTGCCCCTTGTATAAATACAATTAAGTAAACAGAGATGCAGTCTAACATGTAGGTTTACAGATGTTCATCACAGCATATAGATATGTAATAACAAACTGTATTTCCTTTATTCCAAGACTCACATTTTGGCTTTTAAATGTTCCTGAAATTAGGATGCATCTTTCAGTCCATATGCATGTTTAATATATACTTTTTCCTAAAAGCCTTTGAGTTAATTGCAGATCGTACAACCAACAGTAGAATCAAGAAAATATACTCAAAACAACCGAAATGTTCAACAGTAGAGGGTAGTATACAATGAAATCTCATGCAGTCATTAAAAAATTCAAATTTCTAATAATATGAGAATGCTAATGATACAGTAATAAAAAAGGTATAACATTCTATAAACATTTTAATTTTGTTTCAAAAACAAGATGTGTGCACTCCCGTTCTCCTGCTCCCCCAACCTTGCTATGTAAGAGCATAATATCACATTTTAACATTCCATGGTGATGCGATTCTGAGTGGTTAAAAATTAACCCCATCACTTTCTAGTATTCCAGATTTTTTCTTTTTTTGAGACGAAGTCTCACTCTGTCACCCAAGCTGGAGTGCAGTGGCTTGATCTCAGCTCACTGCAACCTCTGCCGCTCAAGTGATTCTCCTGCCTCAGCCTCCCGAGTATCTGGAATTACAGGCTCCAGCCACCGTGCCCGGCTAATTTTTGTATTTTAGTAGAGATGGGGTTCCACCATCTCGGCCAGGCTGGCCTTGAACTCCTGACCTTGTTATCCACCTGTCTTGGCCTCCCAAACTGCTGGGATTACAGGCATGAGGCACTGCGCCTGGCCAATATTCCAGATTTTTAAAGAGCAAATATTGTATCCATCTATTTTTTAAAATTTTCTCAGCTCTTACCTATCATCCTCATGAAATGTATTCATTATCCTAAGAATACTTACTCTTTTTACAATGGTATCAAGGAAGGTAGCCCCTCTCAAAATAGTTTCTTAAGAAGAGGAGTAGGTTTATGGTTTATATAAGGGAAAAATGTGCAAAGATCTAGTTACAGATCTTTGAAGTGGAATCCCTGGAAATGTCTCCAAAGCAAAAGAGCAATGTAAGACTGTAAAAAGGATACAAAAAGAATCGGGGGTGATTGAAAATTATGAACCACAAAAAACACATTAAGATTCTGAAACAGAATATAAACACAACCTGAAGATCTTTAAAGGGGAAGAATAGAATATAAATAACAAACAAAATGTACAAAGACCTGGGTGTAGATCTTTGATATGGAGGCCTTGAAAACAGCCCTGTAGCAAAAAAGGTCAGTATAACACAAAGTTTGCTCAGGGATTTTAAAAATTAGGGTTAATGGGCAAGGTAGTCCAAATAAATAGTAAAAATATGAAACAGAATATAAATACTAGCTAACGGACTTATATAATAAACGAAAAGGAAGGCACAAAAATATAAATGGCATAAAACTGTGTCTTTGGCAGGCAGAAAAGGATAAAGATTAACTTAAATATAACTAGCTCTTACTATACACTCTGTGGAACAAAATGGCCTACTTAATTTTATTTTCAAAACAGGGAAATGAGCACTGCGCTTAAGCAAACTGCTATGAAGTCCACACATTCCTGGTCTTGTTAAGTAATTAATTTATTCTTTGCATTATTAAACTTTATTTACTAAGCATAATTTTACCAATGATAATCACAATTGCTGAAATACTAAAGACTGCTTATTTTGTTCTGTCTTGTAAACAGCATATGAAGTTCTCTCAACAGTTGATCCACAGGCATGGTTATAAATCCATTTACCCTGCAATTGTTCTGAGATCTTTTCTCTTGACTATATCTACCTGAAAACGTAATGACTGAGGCTTCGTGTGGAAATGGGAAACCATAAGATTATATATAAGGCAAAAGCAAGAAAATAAGGCTATAAGATTTCAAAATTAAACTCCTCCCTCCTAAGCACTCTCTACTTTTCTTTCCTACTTTGTTTTTCTTCATAACTCTTATCATCTGACATGTTACTTGACATATTAGGTTCCTTTTTTTTTTGTTTACTTGCACTTGGAAGCAGAGATTTTTGTTGTTTTGTTCATTAATAAACTCGTGGTGACTAGGACAGTCCTCACATATAGTAAGAGTTCCATAAATATTTGCCAAATGAATGAATGAACAATCTAATGCCATCAAAAGGAAAAAAAAGCACCGGGTGCAGTGGCTCACGCCTGTAATCCCAGCACTTTGGGAGGCCGAGGTGGGCGGATAACCTGAGGTCAGGATTTCTAGACCAGCCTAACCAACATAGTAAAACCCTGTCTCTAATAAAAAAATAAAATTAGCCTGGCGTAGTGGCGCATGCCTGTAATCCCAGCTACTCAGGGAGGCTGAGGCAGGAGAATCGCTTGAACCTGGGAGGTGGAGGTTGCGGTGAGCTGAGATCGTACCATTGCACTCTGGCCTGGGCAACAGAGGGAGACTCCGTCTCAAAAAAAAAAAAAAAAAAAAAAAAAAAAGGAAACAAAAACTGTTAAACTAATAGTCTATCCAGATCAAAGTGATTCGAACAATTAGGATACTTCACAAATAAAAGAAAAAATTAATAAACTGATGGCTAATCTGTTCTTATGGAAAATTCTCTTAATTATCATCCACTTCTGAAAAATAGAATATTGTATCTAGTACCATTATCTGGAAAGTTTGAACCCTCACAACCATCAGTATCTATTAGCACATTTTTTTTCTTTTTTTAAAATAAAGATGAGGTCTCATTATGTTGCCTATGCTGGAGGTTATTCACAGACACAATCATTGCACGTCGTGGCTTCCAACTCCTGGCCTCAAGGAATACTTCCTCCTCAGCCTCCCAGTAGGTAGTACTGGGGAGTGCCACCAGGCCTCGCATCTTAGCACATTTTTTAAGTTCAGTGTGTATAAAAGCAGGGCCACCCCTTCACTGGAGGGTGAAACCCTGCAAACTAAGGCAAGTACAATAAAAATTTCAGTCATTAGTTATTTGCTTCTGTCTTGTAAGCAGCATATTAAATGCTCTTGAACAATTTTCCTCCCCAAGACTTTGGTATAAACGTGCATTTTCTACAAGAGGAGAAAATTTCATTCTGAATATATAACTTTTCCACATTTCTAGTGAACCATCCTCTAGTACTGCCTTCATTAAAGTTGAGACAGCCTTTTAAATGAAAGGTCAATCAAACGAAGGGTTTTTTGTTTTTTTGAAAGAGGGTCTTTGCAAGGTTGACCAGGCTGGAATGCAGTGATGCGATCACATCATGGCTCACTGCAGCCTAGACCTCTCAGGTTCAAGTGATCCTCCCACCTAAGCCTCACCAGTAGCTGGGACTATAGTTGCATGCCTGACTGCCTCCCAGGCTCCAGTGATTCTCATGCCTCAGCCTCCCAAGTAGCTGGCATGACAGGCATGCACCACCACACCCAGCTAATTTTTGTATTTTTAGTAGAGACGGGGTTTCGCCACATTGGCCAGGCTGGTCTTTAACTCCTGGCCTCAAGTGATACACTTGCTTAGGCCTCCCAAAGTGCTGGGATTACAGGCATGAGCCACCATGCCTGGCCTAATTTAAAAAAAAATTTTTGTAGGGGCTTGGCCTGGTGGCTCACACCTATAATCCCAGCACTTTGGGAGGCCAAGGAGTTCAGGTTGCTTGAGCCCAGAAGTTCAACACCAGCTTGGGCAATAAGGCAAAATCCTGTCTCTATAAAAAAATACAAAAATTAGCTAGGTGTGGTGGCATGTGCCTTTAGTTCCAGCTACTTGGGAGGCTGAGGCAGGAGGATCACGTGAGCCTGGGGAGGTCAAGGCTATAATGAACCATGATCGGGCCACAGCACTCCAGCCTGGGCAACAGAGCAAGACCTTGTCTCAAAAAAAATGTATGTATTTTTTTGTAGAGACAGGGCCTTCCTATGTTCCCCAGGCTGGTCTCAAACTCCTGGGCTCAAGTGATCCTTCCTGCCTCGTACTCCTAAAGTGCTGGGATTACAGGCGTGAGCCACCGTGCCTGGCCCAAGTTTTTTTTTTGAGACAGGGCCTCGCTGTGTTGCCCAGGCTGGATAATAGTGGTGATCATAGGTCACTGCAACCTCCAACTCCTGGGCTCAAGTGATCCTCCCATCTCAGCCTCCCAAGTAGCTAGGGATACAGGCATGTGCCACCACACCCAGCTCCAAATGAAGTTGTTGTTGTTGCTGTTTTTAATCCACAATTCTTTTTAATACTATTTTTATTTTTTGAGACAGGGCCTGTTTCCCAGGTTGAAGGGCAGTAGTGCAATCACGGCTCACCGTAGCCTCAACCTCCTGGGGCTCAAGTGATTCTCCCACTTGAGTAAATGGGACTACAGGTGCACATCACCATGCCCAGATAATTTTTCTATCTTTTTTGTAGAGACAGGGTTTCGCCACATTGGCTAGGCTGGTCCTGAACTCCTGGGCTCAAGCTATCTGCCTGCCTCGGCCTCCCAAAGTGCTGAGGTTACAGGCGTGAGCCACCATGCCTGGCCACAATTCTTTCACTTTACTGTTTGGTGTTCCTTTTCTAAATATTTAAAAGGATACTAAAACTAAAAATTTTCTTTTCAAAAAATTTTCTCTTTAGCTCTTCAAGAGGGAAGATAGAGCCTAAGAATATATCTTGCTACCCAAAGTACTATCCTGTCTTCTCTGGAACCACTCCTCTTAACAGAACCCAGTTTAAGGCAGAGGTGAGACATCTGAAGGCTCTTTCATCTGGAAGGATCTCATTAGACTGGTGTGACAGGCTGTTGCTAAACTCTCTTATGTTCTCCTAAAAGCTGGAAAAGGCAAGGAAGGATCATTCCCTAGAAGCCTCGAAGGGAGCGTGGCCCTGCCAATTCCTTGATTTCAAATTTCTACCCCCCAAAACTGTGGAAGAATAATTTCTGTTGTTTTAAGCCACTGAGTTTGTGGTTCTTTGTTATAGCAGCCCTAGGAAACTAACACAGATGATAAAGGTCTAACCTTTCTAAATTCCATTAGATAGTATTATCATTATATTTAAATCGCCATTTAAAGTGTGGCTTTTCCAAGTGTACTTTGCTTGAAAAAGAAAAAAAAATCTCTAGCCTTTGTTTTTTTCTTTTTTTTTTTAAATGATGGATTTAAAGGTCAAGCACTGACAGAAGTGTCAATCCATATTTCAAATGCATTAATGTGGTCATGAAAAAAGTAATCAGATAGATGTTTAATAGTTAAGCATTGTCCATTTGAGTTGCAGAGCACCCCACCCTTCATTCATTCCTTCAACCAACTACTCAAGTGAAGAACATGCTTACTTGTTACTGGTTGGTCCTGTTGCCAAGACATCGGACTGTAACTTTGGAAAGAACCCCTGCTCATATTTGCCTTGACCAATTTTCATATCAAGTAGATGTGGGTGGATTGCAGTGTGATCCATTTTCATCAGTCTCTGCTCAATTGATTGGGCTATAAATTAAATTTATAATAAATTAGAGACATTTCATTGCTAGCCCTTCAAAAATAATGCTTCCTCCACTCATGCACCTACAGAGAACCCAATCACTCTGACACTCTGAAACAGATATTGTGTGTGTGTGTGTGTGTGCACGCACGCACGCATATATGCATGTTTTGAGACAGAGTTTCACTCTTATTGCCCAGGCTGGAGTGCAATGGCGCGATCTCAGCTCACTGCAATCTCTACCTCCTGGGTTCAAACGATCCTCCTGCTTCAGCCTCCCAACTAGCTGAGACCGCAGGCATGTACCACCAGTTCCAGCTAGTTTTGTATTTTTAGTAGAGATGGCGTTTCATCATGTTGCTCAGGCTGGTCTTCAACTCCTGACCTCAGGTGATCCACCCTCCTTGGCCTCCCAAAGTGCTGGGATTATAAGCGTGAGCCACCACGCCCGGTCTTGAAATAGATTTTTACAAGGGCTCTTCAGAAATTAGTATAATGTAAGTATAAAAAGTTAACTTTAAGTAAATATTGGATGATTAATTTTCATGGTATTTTCTGCCTTTGTCAAAATCAGGGCCGCGGGGATGAAAAGCCTACAATTTTGTATTGAAACAGTTTCTCTTAAGTAAGAAATTCAATATTCTTACACAAAAATATGGTTCTAAGTACAACATTAAAGAAAATGATAGCAAATAAAATATTTTTCTTGAGCTGAAATACAAGTTAAAGAGAAGACGCAAGCACAATGGCCTTATTAACTTTACTTCTTTATACAAAGACCTATTAAATATTCGTGGTTCTCCATCTGTAAAAACAAGGAACGGTGTGAAGTTTATTACCTCACTTTTAGCAACAGTCACGTTCTCATTAGTAGGAGTCATTTTGGAGTGTTTATTAGATCAAGAAGGTAATACAGCAAAAAGTCATATAAGCAGGCATTTAGAAAATGTCCAGAGGATAAGAAACTGGCCTTTTGAAGAATAAAATAGGTGAATGTTAAGATAGGATTACTAAACATTTCTATTTTAAAACCACTAAGAGTCAGGGATGTTGGAAGATGTCTCAAAGTCCCCAGAAACAGTGATCTATTTCTCAGGTAAACAAATAAATAAAACCTGATCTTAAACATTTTAATCAACTGAATTGTCAAGAGAAAATATATTTTAGAAGCAAGCCTAGGTCTCTGATCCTCTGCCTAGAGATTACTTAAAAGGGGAGAACAAGCAGTAATGGTAGTTGTGTGATAAACAGAACACACTGTGGGAGCTGCTAATTTTGTGATTTAAGAGAAGAACCAGGTGCCTTTATAAATATTTCATAGAATCAGTTTATGTTGCCCCTTTTCCTTTTTTTTCAGATGGAGTCTAGGCTGGAGTGCAATGGCGCAATCTCAGCTCACTGCAACCTCCACCTCCTGGGTTCAAGCGATTCTCCTGCCTCAGCCTCCCGAGTAGCTGGGATTACAGGCACCCGCCACCATGCCCAGCTAATTTTTGTATTTTTAGTAGAGATGGGGTTTCACCACATTGGCCAGGCTGGTCTCGAACCCATGACCCCAGATGATCTGCCCTCCTCGGCCTCCCAAAGTGCTGGGATTACAGGCGTTAGCCATTGTGCCTGGCCACAGTGGTATTTTCAAGAGTATTATATAATTTCTGTGATGACAGTGGGAGTACCAAACTCTCTGAGAGGCTGAAAGAAAATCTATTTTAATTGGAAAGACTTTCTGGAAGCACACAATTAAGGTATTGGTGCTTAGTTCCATCTAAAAAATTCCATCAGGAAGGGAGAAATAAAATTTGTGCAACAAGGCATTATGCTATTCACATGGCTATTAAGGCACTGGAAGTCATTTTATTCTCTGAACAAGGATAGACAATTTCATTAATTCTACTTTCTCAATTTCCAAAACCACATAGGTAATTGCCACTTCCTGAAGGGGCTCCAGGGATCTACCCTGATTCGTGGGAATACAACAGGGTGATGTTTCTATGGTTACATAAAAGACATCATTTACATACTTCTCCCTTACATACGCTAAAGCTTCAGCATCATCATTCCTGACTTTGATCTATTTAAGTAAAGTGGGAAAGGCAGGCAAGCAATCAAGAGAGACAGATCAAGGAAGCTCCACATTTGCTGCCTCCTTTTTCTCCAGAGGAAAAGTTGCTGTCAAATAACTCCAACATTTGAAGGGAAAGAAATAAAAGGGAGGGCCGTCAGGTGATAGGTATCTGCTTATCTGGCAAAGAACAGGTTAAGGACCAGGCATAATTGTATAAAATAAGTGTGGACTAGTACATTTTACATAGTTCTTTCTTGAATGAACAGCTAACATGATGTTAAGGCTTCCTGTGCCAGAAATCAGACCTGGATTCAAACCATGGCTCGACCAATCACTAGCTATGCAACCACCAACCACAGGCAAGTTACTTAACCTCTCAGTTTTCTCAATTGTAAAATGAGGGCAGTAATAAAACAAAATAAAAATAAGTATTCCAGGCCAGACATGATGGCTCATGCCTGTAATCCTAGCATTTTGGGAGGCCAAGGCAGGTGTTTTGTTTGAGCTCAGGAGTTCAAGACCAGCCTGAGCAACATCGTGAATCCCTGTCTCTACCAAAAATACAAAAAATTAGCCAGGCATGGTGGCATGCATCTGTAGTCCCAGCTACTTGGGAGGCTGTGGTGGGAGGATCACTTCAACCCAGGAGGCAGAGGTTGCAGTGAGCCGAGATGGCACCACTGCACTCCAGCCTGAGTGACAGCGAGATTCTGTTTCAAAAAAAAAAAGGGTGCTGGGCTCACACCTGTAATCCCAGCACTTTAGGAAACTGAAGCAGGTGGATCACTTAAGCCCAGGAGTTCAAGACCAACCAAGGTAAGATAATAACCTGAGCAACATGGTGAAACCCTGTCTCTACAAAAAATACAAAAAATTACCCGAGGGTGGTGGCACATGCCTATAGTACCAGTTCCCCAGGAGGCTGTGGTAGGAACATCACCTGAGCCCAGGAAGTTGAGGCTGCAGTGAGCCATGATGGCACCACTGCACTCCAGCCTAGGCAACAAGTGAGACCCTGTCTCAAAAGAAAAAAAAAAAAATTCGTGAACACCTGGCATGATGACTGACATAGTAAATACTCATGTTGGCTATTAATATGATTATTTATTTAATGGACTATATTACACTCCTAGACAAGACTGGCTAAGACTCAGATTTAACTGCTTTCTTTTTATTTTTTTGAGACGGAGTCTTGCTCTGTTGCCCAGGCGGGAGTGCAGTGGTGCCACATTGGCTCACTGCAACCTCCGCCTCCCGGGTTCAAGTGATTCTTCTATGTCAGCCTCCCTAGTAGCTGGGATTACAGGCGCATGACACCACACCTGGCTAATTTTTGTATTTTTAGTAGAGATGGGGTTTCGCCATGTCGGCCAGGCTGGTCTTGAACTCCTGACCTCAAGTGATCCGCTGGCCTTGGCCTTCCAAAGTGCTGGGATTAAAAGTGTGAACCATCACGCCCAGCCTGAGTCAGATTTAATTTCAATAAGTGAAGCTATTATAATTAATGGCACTACTAAAGCAAAGATACTGTTTTAGTATGTAAATTAAGCAGAATCTAAGATTTACTGTTTTAAATAAATATCCTTTCTTGGATATAGAGAAGAGGTGAGAAGTAAAAATGAAACATAAGGCCGGGCGCAGTGGCTCACGCCTGTAATCCCAGCACTTTGGGAGGCCGAGGTGGGCGATCACGAGGTCGGGAGATCGACACCATCCTGGCTAACACAGTGAAACCCCGTCTCTACTGAAAATTCAAAAAATTAGCCGGGTGTGGTGGTGGGCGCCTATAGTCCCAGCTACTCGGGGCAGGAGAATGGCGTGAACCCGGGAGGTGGCGCTTGCAGTGAGCCAAGATGGCGCCACTGCACTCCAGCCTGGGCGACAGAGTGAGACTCCGCCTCAAAAAAAAAAAAAAGAAAAAGAAAAAGAAAAAGAAACATAAGTAGCAAGACAGAAATTAACATTTTTTCCATTTAGGCAATAAAGAGAATAAAACAAAAGTCAGGCTGGACATGGTGGCTCACACCTGTAATCCCAGCACTTTGGGAGGCTGAGGAGGGCAGATCACCTGAGGTCAGCAGTTCAAGACCAGCCTGGCCAACATGGTGAAATCCCAACTCTATAAAAATACAAAAATTAGTCAGGCGTGATGGTGCGTGCCTGTAATCCCAGCTAATTGGGAGGCAGAGGCAGGAGAAACATTTGAACCCAGGAGGCGGAGGTTGCAGTGAGTCAAGATTGCGCCACTGCACTCTAGCCTGGGTGACAGAGTGAGAACCATCTCAAAAACAAAAACAAAAACAAAAATCATAGCAACCTTCCAGACATACTTGATTCAATTTATTATTGTTTTTCCTCTTCTAAGAGAAGAGGAACGTCAAGTAGGAGTAGGACTCAGAAAGAAAAATTTACAAAGCATTTCGTGATATAGTACCAGGATTAGCCATGAAGTCTAAAACTGAAAATTAATTTTGTTGTACGTAAGGCCAGCAATTTGTGGGAAAAAAGCGATAATGGATTTTAATTTAATTTAAAAGGCATGGCAAATGTACCTGCTTCTTTTAAAGTGCTGCATTTCTGATATATAGATGTCCGCAAGGTGGGTGCCCTTACATTATACAGCCTTATCTTATCAATCCGAGTGTCAAAGACCCGAAGCAAAGGATCTTTCTCTTCCCACTGAGACATAATTTTATTATCAATAAAGGTGGCAAACATCTGTGTTTCAATGAAGCGTGAAAGAAATGGCAGGTAAGGCTCAGGCTGGTCAGACAGAAAGGAAGCCTGTAATGAGATAATTAGGAAATTATTAGTGCAAAGAGACCATCTCAACACTACATGATAAGCCTGAAAATTATGTTAACTCAGGACATTCCTTTTTTAAATCTTATAAAACTGACACTTGAAATTCAAAAATCCTTAAAAATCCACTTTTCTTTCCATTTTCCTAAATTTAGAGAATGTACGTCACTTAGGTCTTTAGCACTGATCTTACCTTACAAAATTTACATTCTGATCCTTATGACCATTATGTAGCAAAGAGGGCATCAGTAACGAAAGATGGCAGATAAGTTGCTATACAATTGTCAATCATCCACTTCACTTGCAGTTAAAAATTTTTATCCCTTTCCCCAATGAGTTGTAATTTCGTTTTTTTTTTTTCTTTGAGATGGAGTCTCGCTCTGTCGCCCAGGCTGGAGTGCAGTGGCACGATCTCGGCTCACTGCAAGCTCCCGCCTCCCGGGTTCATGCCATTCTCCTGCCTCAGCCTCCTGAGTAGCTGGGACTACAGGCGCCTGCCACCACGCCCGGCTAATTTTTTTGAATTTTTAGTAGAGACGGGGTTTCACCATGTTAGCCAAGATGGTCTCGATCTCCTGACCTCATGCTCCGCCCGCCTCGGCCTCCCAAAGTGCTGGGATTACAGGCGTGAGCCACCGCGCCCAGCTACAAGTTGTAATTCCTTCTGTTCTCTATTCCTAGCCTATGAAATATACTTTCAAGCCACAAGGTAGTGAGATGATTAACTGATACAATAAACACATCAGCATTAATCTTAAAAAAGACATGGAATTTATGCTTATGGGTGAAGTTCTTTTGTTCTTCTTTAAGTGAATGCTTTTCTAGACTCTTTAACTCTGTGAGAAATCAATAGATGAGTGTTAAGCCAAGGAAAAATTCCTTCCACACCTGTGCTGACACAACAGTCTCAGCCTTAACAACTAAAAAAGGCACTGCCTGGAAGCTGGGCATGGTGGTGGCCACCTACAGTCCCAGCCACTAGGGAGGCTGAAGCCGGAGGATCCTGTGAGCCCAGGAGTTTGAGGCCAGCCTAAAGAAACATAGTGAAACCGCATTTCCAAAAAAACAAACAAACAAAAACAAATCATTGCCTGAAAAACCATCAGAAGCAAGCCTTTGGAGAACGAGTACAATAAGCTGTACACCTTTCCTGTTACTAGCCTGTCTGATGCATGGGATGGTTCAGTACATCGTAATCAGTTCCTAATTAAAAGTGTCATTTTTTTTTCTGTTGTTCTTCCATGCTCATGTGTGTACAGGGATTCTACATTCAATGCAGTACTAAAATCTGGAAGTAAATTTGGAAGTAAATTCCTATTTTGGTTGCTGGGTTGGTTTTTATTTTTGCATGGCAGAAGCCAGAAGGGGAAAGGGGAAAGAGGAAAGAGAAATAAGTTCTGACATAAGGTGACTTTTAAAAATACTCATCAGCTTCTTGCTAGCATATTTACTTTCATTCTGAAATTTAGGAGGTCTTCTTAAAATTTCCTTATAGAAATCCACTTATTCACTTTAAGTAGTTCCATAGTTCAGGTGTATATACATAAATCCAAATAACCACAGAAAGATTCACAGTAGTCTAGAAATCAGTTCACCTTCACCAATAAACATCTTACTTTTCATACATCAAATAGCCTTTTTTTAAAAAAAGTGGGCCAAAGATCTGGCTTTTGATATTCAGACCCTCATAAACTATAAAATTTTAGGTCAACAACGATTTGGCTTGTACGACTAGTATGTCCTGCAGATTTTCCTAGTGAAAGGTACTTATAAGCCTTCTGGAATCCAACAGAAAATTTTCATTTCTTTAGGGGTTATGTAAAAAGAATTCCATTTATATAGTTTGAGGCTACATAAAGATTAAGAAGGAAGGAAGTATCAGGGCTTGATTTAGGTAAGAATTTGAATTGTCCCAAGGATAAACCATGGATATACACAGATTAGTTTTTTTTTTTTTTTTTTGAGACAGAGTCTCGCTGTCGCCCAGGCTGGCGTCCAGTGGCGTGATCTCAGCTCACTGCCAAGCTCCACCTCCCGGGTTCATGCCATTCTTCTGCCTCAGCCTCCCAAGTAGCTGGGACTATAGGTGCCTGCCACCACGCCCGGCTAATTTTTTTGTATTTTTAGTAGAGACGAGGTTTCACCATGTTAGCCAGGATGGTCTCGATCTCCTGACCTTGTGATTCGCCCGCCTCAGCCTCCCAAAGTGTTGGGATTACAGGCGTGAGCCACTGTGCCCAGCCCACAGATTAGTTCTAAGCTAGATAGGAAAAAGTATGGAAAATGGTTAAGACTAACGAAAAAGGAACCTAAGGGCATACACTTAAAGAAGTGAAGTCTTGTTAATATTAAAGAAGTTTTCTCAAACGTAAGTGCATCAGGATGCTTTTGTAGTTCATAAATGTAATAATTGGCTTTTCATGCTCATGTGTGAGATGTACCTTCCTCAAACTTTGTTACCATGTTAGAACATTACCTGTCTGATGTGGGGAAAAACAAAGAACACCAGAACGTAACTGTTCAACATAC
This sequence comes from Homo sapiens, assembly GCF_000001405.40. Classification (NCBI taxonomy): domain Eukaryota; kingdom Metazoa; phylum Chordata; class Mammalia; order Primates; family Hominidae; genus Homo; species Homo sapiens. The sequence goes on from NC_000012.12 coordinate 31,450,317, forward strand.
AATATCATCCTCCAACAGAAAAAATATCTGATGAAGTAAAAAAATTATCTTTTGTTTTTTTGAGACAGGGTCTCACTCGCTAGCCCAAGCTGGAGTGCAGTGGCATCATCTTGGCTCACTGCAGCCTCAACTTCTGAAGCTCAAGTGATCTCACCTCAGCCTCCAGAGTCATTGGGACCAGAGGAGCACACCACCATGCCCGGCTAATTTTAAAATTTTTTGTAGAGATGAGTTCTCACTATGTTGCCTAGGCTGGTCTCACACTCCTGGCCTCAAATGATCCTCCAGCCTCAACCTCCTAGTGTTGGGATTACAAGTGTGAGCCACCATGCCCAGCCACTATGTACCTTTACGAAAATTTTTCATTATTTCCAAAAATTCTCCAGTACTGTAGATTAGCCTCTTGGAATGTATCAGCCCCTTTAGAAGGCCTTTCATGACCCAAAGAGGCCACTTAGTGAAACCCATGATACATTCTAATAGCAGTATTATACCTCAGCAATCACAGCAGTAAAGAACTAAACTGTACCCTGGTGACCTAAAAGAGTTACTATACAACCCTAAGTGCATCTGTCTGAAAAATAAAATCTGGGAGATAGGTGAAAAAAAACTGGCAGAAGAATCCAGTACCCCTTAGAAATCACAGGACAAGGAAAGCTGGTATATTTTCTGACTTCTCTTTCCAAAATCTTTGGAATTGTTTTACACTTACAGCCATAAAACTTAATTTAGTCACTCTTTTTCTCCTTTTATCTTAAAATGAGATAGAGAAATTTGGCTTCTGAAACCAAACTGTTAACTTTACATGGACAAGTTGTGACTTCCTGATAGGATAAAGACTAAATAAATGATTTCTAGACTAAATAAATAGATTTCTTCAAAAAGGAGTAGGCTTATTTAACCATACTTGATCATAAAGTAAGAGTAAATAAAACTGTTATAAGGTTAAACAGTATTAACAGATTTGGAAAACCTGCAAAATGTAAGAGTTTCTATAAATTTTTATTTATTTATTTATTTTTTTTGAGATGGAGTCTCTCTCTGTTGCCCAGGCCGGAGTACAGTGGCGCTATCTTGGCTCACTGCAACCTCTGCCTCCCGGGTTCAAGCGATTCTCCTGCCTCAGCCTCCTGAGTAGCTGGGACTACAGGTGTGCGCCACCACGCCCAGCTAATTTTTTGTATTTTTCGTAGAGACGGGGTTTCACCATATTGGCCAGGCTGGTCTCAAACTCCTGACCTTGTGATCCGTCCGCCTCGGCCTCCCAAAGTTCTGGGATTACAGGCATGAGCCACCGTGCCCGGCCTGAGTTTCTATAATTTAAGCATCTTTAAGGTAAAGAAAAATTGAAAATGAGATTACAGGCAATTTAACGCACAATTTAATGACCAGTTCAATGAGCTGGTTTATTTGCTTGTAAAATTATTTTATCTAATGTAAAAATACTTGGTAAAGAAAAGTTCTTAATGGGGCTGGAAGACAAAAAGTCTGCATTTAAAAAAGGTTAACAAAATCAATAATATATGGGTAAGCATAGGCACAGAAGAATAAAAAATTTAAAAATGTTAAAATCAATAATAAAGCCACTAATAACCACAAAAGGAAAACTATGGTTCTTTTTACTTTGTCAAAGTTCTGCATCTGTTCCCGGTTGGTCAGCCAGGATTCCATGTCCTGGGCAGTCTGAATGACAAATGCTTCGTAATCTGCAAACATCTGTGTAAAACGGTTAGCAAAGACCTCTCGGAGCTGTACATTGAGCTGGTAGTCCCTTAGTTCTGCCTCTTCACAATGCAGTTTTAAATCCTTGTCTTTTTCACCCAGAGAAGCAGAGAGGTCCATTTTTTCCACAGCCACACCAGTACGCTTGGCCAGAGCCTGCAAGCGGGCTATGGTTTCATTGCCCTTCAGTAACTCATACATGCTGATGTTATTAGTACAGACATTGCCGTTCTTTTTGTCATTGACCAAGTCTTTCAGAACCATATTCTTCAGTTTGCTGGTACTCTCACTGCAATGTAGGCTGCCCTCAGGAGGGATCCCAAATTGAACAAGAACCTCAGAGAGTTCTTGGATAAAATCCACTTTATTGGGGAACTGTGGAAATTCTTCAGGCAACTCAATAAAATGGTTGTCAATGTCCACAAAACACAAATTAGCCTGAAAGAGAAAAATGAAATACAAAGGTTTAAAATAAAGGAATTGTATGTGCTAACATATTCTTGCCAGCCAGCCACAGTGGCTCACACATAATCCCAGCACTTTGGGAGGCCAAAGCAAAAGGATCGCTTGAGCCCAGGGGTTCGAGACAAGACTGGGAAACACGGCAAGATTCTGTTTCTACAAAAAGAAAAAAAAATTCTTGCCAACTATTACAAACAAAAGCATAGATTATGGTGCCTTTTATGTTAATCTTTGCAAGGTTTAGAATTTCTTATTCTTTAAAAATAACCTCTTTTTCCATCATTTTTCCCTATGTGAGTTTTTTATACCATACTTAATATATATGAATAATTTTCTCTGGGTCTCAGCAATATATTATAATCTGAATATGATTTTCTAACAATTGGCATCCATTTAGGCATTCCTATGTGGGTAAGCGTGCCCAGACTCATAAGACCTTACAAATACATGATATTAGGTAAAATGCTCACTGTATGCACTTGAACTTTCTTTGCCACTCCACTGCTCTAACATCTGTAATGCAGAATTGACAATAATCACCAAAAACCAGCAGCTGTAGTATCTCCCAATAGGATGAAACTGGCAAAATCAATCCAATTCACAGATAATCCACAAATTTTAACTTTACTCAAAATTCACTAAACCTCCTAGAGCAAAACCATTTCAGAAGTCATTATACCTAATGCAGGAGGCAGAGAGAGGTGGTAGAGGCAAGTGCATATGTAACTATGCACTTGATTAACCTTTGAATAATTAAGAGTTCACACAAGATATTTTTGAGTTGAGTAGAAGAGGTGACAGAAATCAGAAGAAATGTTTGAGTTTGTTTACACTCTACATTTGGAATTTATTTTGAATAAATATTTTAAATATTTTTCAAGTAGATATAGAAAATTCAAGAGGCCAAGCATATGTATAAAGTTCTGATTATCCCTCAGGTATCTGTAGTAGACTTCAAACAGTATTTAACCTCTACTGTCCATACTCTCTTAATCAGGACAAGGTTGTTAGTTAAAAAGAAGGTTGTGTTTCTAGATTGGGGGGTGGAGTGCCAAAAGTGTAGCCCATCACATAAAAATAATATTGATTACATCAATGGTTGAACATAAGACATGGGGTGGAAGTTAATAAACAAAATAGGAAGCTTCACTATGTGTTTCTCCCTGGCTCCCCCACCCCCAGGCACCAAGGGGAAAATTCACACTGCTCTCTGATCCTAGACGGCAAAGTAAGGGGAAAGGGGAAAGCAACCAGTCGGGTCTTTGTTTTTCTCTTTTGATCCTTGCTCTTCATGTTAGATACCAATTAGCAAGCAGCATAGTGAAACTCTAAATTAAGCTCAATAAAAACTCAAAATGAGGCCTAGCATGGTGCCTCATGCCTGTAATTCCAGCACTTTGGGAGGCTGAGGCGGGAGGATGACTTGAGGTCAGGAGTTCAAGACCAGTCTGGCCAACATGGTGAAACTCTGTCTCTACTAAAAATATAAAAATTAGCTGGGCATGGTGGCATGCACCTGTAATCCCAGCTACTCGGGAGGCTAAGGCAGGATAATCACTTGACCTCAGGAGGCAGAGGTTGCAGTGAGCTAAGATCGTGCCACTGCACTCCAGCCTGGGCAAAACACAGCGAGACTTTGGCCAAAAAAAAAAAAAAAAAAATTTCGGTTTCCCTCCTTTCAAAGCCAGATGATCAACAATGATTCCTAAAGCCTGATGTAATCTTTGAATCCAGTCTTTTAATTTTGCAGATGAAGAAACCGAGGCCCAAGAAATTAGGTGACTTCCTGGCACCTGTTCCAAATGTGCACCCTCAAACAGCCTGGTGGCTTATGGCCTTTCCCTGCTATTTTTCCTCACCTCCAATGTCAGCAGTTTTCTCTAAATAAATAAAGAGCTGAAATGTCGCATCTTGCTGAAGACAGTAGCACTGCCTACACCATTCTTTTCTTTTCTTTTTTTGAGATGTAGTCTTGCTCTGTCACCCAGGCTGGAGTGTAGTGGTGCGATCTCAGCTCACTGCAAACTCTGCCTCCTGGGTTCGAGCAATTGTCTGCCTCAGCCTCCCGCGTAGCTGGGATTACAGGTGTCCACCACCATGCCTGGGTAATTTTTTTATATTCTTAGTAGAGATGGGGTTTCACCATCTTGGCCAGGCTGGTCTTGAACTCCTGACCTCGTAATCCACCTGCCTCAGCCTCTCACAGTGCTGGGATTATAGGTGTGAGCCACTGCGCCTGGCCGGCCTACACCATTCTTTACACTGAAAGGCTTAAATGAAGGTCACATAATTTGAATGGATGATTCAGTATCTTTTTTTTTTTTTTTTTTTTTTTTGAGATGGAGTCTTGCTCTGTTGCCCAGGCTGGAGTGCAGTGGTGCGATCTTGGCTCACTGCAACCTCTGCCTCCTGGGTTCACGCCATTCTCCTGCCTCAGCCTCCCAAGTAGCTGGGACTACAGGTGCCTGCCACCACGCCCGGCTAATTTTTTTTGTATTTTTAGCAGAGACAGGGTTTCACCGTGTTAGCCAGGATGGTCTCGATCTCCTGACCTTGTGATCCGCCCACCTTGGCGTCCCAAAGTGCTGGGATTACAGGCGTGAGCCACCGCGCCCGGCCAATTCAGTATCTTTAAAATGGAAGAAAAAATTTACTAATTTGCTAATCTAAATGTTAACCAGCAACCTCCCACCACTTAGATTTTGTACTATCACCTTCACTAATGCCTTCCTACTACCTTTTTCTATCCCTCTCCTCCTCCTATGAAAAGGGAAAATGATACATTTTCTGAAATTTTAAAGCTTATTATGGTCATGAAATCACTGCTGAGCTGAGTGTACTACAAAGTAGGAGTTCCAACACCATAGCTACTGGTCTGTCTTCATGATCCCACAAAAGTCTCCTATGTCTGCTTAAGAAGGGCCCAAGCTGGGGCTTTGATTATCTCAAAGTAGAACAGGAAATACAAACTGTGTTATGAAAATGTATTGAAGAAAACCAAAAAGCCCTTTCTCCAAAACAAACGAGAACTCTATAATAGGGCATTCTGATAAGTTGCTTCTCACTTTTAACACCATTAAATTAAAAAAAATTCAGAAGAGCTCAATAAGTATTACATGATAAAAATTTACTCAACACCTCAATCTGACATTGCTTTAGGACTAAATATTTCTACTGATCAACACTGCTCACAAGCCTTCATGATATGTAACTACTTCCTATTAAAAACAACAAAAGTGGGCTGGGCATGGTGGCTCATGCCTGTAATCCCAGCACTTTGGGAGGCCAAGGTGGGCAAATCACAAGGTCAGGAGTTTGAGATCAGCCTGACCAACATGGTGAAAGCCCGTCTCTACTAAACACAAAAAATAAGCTGGGCGTAGTGGCAGGCGCCTGTAATCCCAGCTAGTTGAGAGGTTGAGGCAGGAGAATCACTTGAACCCAGGAGGCAGAGGTTGCAGTGTGCCAAGATCATGCCACTGCACTCCAGCCCAGGCGACAGAGTGAGACTCCGTCTCAAAAACAAAACAACAACAACAACAAAAGTGGCCGGGCACAGTGGCTCATGCCTGTAATCCCAGCACTTTGGGAGCCTGAGGTGGGTGGATCACTTGAGGTCAGAAGTTCAAGACCAGCCTGGCCAACATGGTGAAACCCCATCTCTAGTGCAAATACAAAAATTAGCGAAGTGTGGTGGCGTGCACCTGTAATCCCAGCTATTTGGGAAGTTGAGGCAAAAGAATCACTTGAACCTGGCAGGTGGAGGTTGCAGTCAGCTGAGACGGCGCCACTGCACTCCAGCCTGGGCAACAGAGTGAGACTCCGTCTCAAAAAAAAAAAAAAAAAAAATTCCCTCAAAAGTAAGAAAACAAAGGCTTAAAGCTTAATCATCTCTTCTGTCATGAAACCTTCCTATACCCTTACCCTAAAGGCATTCTGATCTCCTCTGGATCTTCTCTGTTCATTCATTCCTCTTACTGACTTACTTTTTAACTTGTGTTATTGGTATTTGTAAATGACTTTTTTGAAAAGCAGAAATCACCTCTTTTTGACTTGGTGTCTCCCACTGTATTCTACACAAATAGTGTATGAGACAACTGTTTGGCAAATGAAAGAATAAGCTCTGAGGAGATGGTCATTTGGGGGAACCCTAAAACTGTAGGCCGGAGCAGGAAGTATCCACAAATGAGAGACTAATGCAGCTCTCTTCATGTTTAGTAAGTGATCTCACTTCTCAGTGTCTGAAGTTAAGCCAGCTTGAGGGTAAGCCAGAGAGAGGAGAGCATTTAAAATATTCCCTCTGGGCCAGATGCTGTGGATGATGCTGGTAATCTTTGGAAAGCCAAAGCCAGAGGATCGCTTGAGCCCAAGAGTTCAAGACCAGCCTGGGCAATGTAGTGAGACTCCATCTCTACAAATAATAATTTTAAAAAATTAGCTGGGTGTGGTGGTGTGTGCCTCTCGTCCCAGCTACTCATGAGGCTGAGGTGGGAGGATCTCCTGAGCTCAGGAGGTCAAGGCTGCAGTGAGCTGTGCCACCACATTCCTGCCTGGGTGACAGAGTGAGACCCTGTCTAAAAAATAAAATAAATTATTTCCTCAGAATCTCAGGGCAAGATATGACAAGAACAAAGTTGCAAAAGCAGCTCTGTTTCAGTTTTTCTCTTAACTTTTTGTCTACCAGTTACTGTGAAGATGAGTAAGAACAGTAGAAAGTGAGGTACATTCCATGCAATTAATCTTCAGTGCCTTCCTTCCACTCTCATTCTCTCTATCCTACTCCCTAAAAAACAGTATTACAAATGGCTACTTGTGGGTATCACTCTTAAATCATGAGGATAGCTAATTGGTGATTAATTTATAAATCTATGTAGTTATATTAGTTAGCTAGCAACTAAAATCATACCTTCTTAAAATAATCATTTTGCAAATTTGTTATTTTTGTAACTATGTTTAGAAGTCTTGTCACTATTTTTAGCCATTATTTTATTTTAGACTTTTCAGGGAAAGGTGGAGGAAAGTATTACTAGTGAGTGCATTTAAGTCATTTTTTTAAATGACTATTTTTATATCTACTTCCTCTCCAAAATTATGTGAAGCAGATTATTTCACCTCATTGTAAAATGATACCAGAACAAAGAGGCTGTTAGCCTTTTCTTATAAAACAATGATGTCCTAATTTATAGTTTCTACACAGAAGCACTGCTATTTTCTTTTCTTTTTTTTTTTTTGAGATGGAGTCTCGCTCTGTCGCCCAGGCTGGAGTGCAGTGATGCGATCTTGGCTCACTGCAAACTCCGCCTCCCGGGTTCATGCCATTCTCCTGCCTCAGCCTCCCGAGTAGCTGGGACTACAGGCGCCTGCCACCACGCCCGGCTATTTTTTTTGTATTTTTAGTAGAGACAGGGTTTCACCGTGTTATCCAGGATGGTCTCGATCTCCTCACCTCGTGATCCGCCCGCCTCAGCCTCCCAAAGTGCTGGGATTACAGGCGTGAGCCACCACGCCCAGCCGAAGCACTGCTATTTTCACAGCTAATTCAGGTTATTTCATATTATTCTACTCTATGAACAGATGAGTATACGTATTTATTAAGCAGTGTTGATCTCATTAATGAAAAATTAGAAAATCACAGACATTACTGTAGGAGCTTTCAGAATCCTTAAATTTGTTTATCTTTAGTGGATACAAACAGGCATAGAGATGGAAAGGTTTCCCAACTACAGATATATCAAGCTGCCATTTAAAAATCTCTCAACAATTGTTATGAAAAATGGAAAGACAACATACATATAAATTATCTTATAAAATATTACATGGATTAACATACAAAATAGATCAGTCACTCAACAAGAAACTAAAATATCATTAAGTCTTCAAAACAAAATGCATTTGGCTAGTCTATTTCTTTTTCCTTGAAAATTTAAAGGATTAACTTCTTGGAGCAAATAACATACTTGACTAATTTAATGAAAGCAAAAACAAGAACATTCAAGGAATAGAGAAAAGAGGTAAAACAGAGAAGAAAAACATGCACAAGCCCAAAAAGAACAATAGTCTGTATATGTCTCTTATGTGATCTGAATCATGCTATTTTCCTTTGAGCAAAAACCTTAATTTTTGTGGGGAAATATTCATTAGAATAAAAGTAAGCAGTGGATGATTATGAGAATCATTACAGGAAATAATGGCTGTGGCTTAGTGTGTTAAATTCACTTATTAAAATGAGAATCTCTATGGGAAATAAGAACAAATAAAGGTGAATCTCAGCATGAGATTCTATTAAGAAAGATGTGAATTAAATAGCTAGTGATATAATGTAATTAATCATCTTATGTTTTGTAAAAGGCTGTGGCACACTCTTATCCATATTTCATTTCAAAGACCTTACATGGTAATCCTCAGTACCATTAACAATAAGTAACAATTAGGCCAGGCACGGTGGCTCATGCCTGTAATCCCAGCATTTTGGGAGGCCGGGGCGGGCAGATCACCTGAAGATGGGAGTTTGACACCAGCCTGACCAACATGAAGAAAACCCGTCTCTACTAAAAATACAAAATTAGCTGGGCGTGGTGGTGCATGCCTGTAATCCCAGCTACTCGGGAGGACGAGGCAGGAGAATCACTTAAACCCAGGAGGCGGTGAGCCAAGATCCCGCCATTGCACTCCAGCCTGGGCAACAAGAGCGAAACTCCATCTCAAAAGAAAAGAAAAAAAAAAGTAAAAACAACACCTAGGAGGTGTTACTATTCTTACTTTATAGATCAGAAATATGCTTTCAATAATTCTTGTTTATTTATTTATTTTTGAGACGGAATCTCGCTCTGTCACCCTGGAGTGCAGTGGCACGATCTTGGCTTACTGAAACCTATACCTCTAGGGTTCAAGCGATTCTCCTGCCTCAGCCTTCCAAGTACCTGGGACTACAGGTGTGTGCCACCATGCCTGGCTAATTTTTGGTATTTTTAGTAGAGATGGGTTTCATCATGTTAGCCAGGATGGTCTGGATCTCTTGACCTTGTGATCCGCCCACCTTGGCCTCCCAAAGTGCTGGGATTACAAGCGCTTGTAATCCCACCACGCCTGGCCTATTTTTTTAAACATTTGAAAGTACAACACACAGAAAGTATAACTTTAAGGTGGCATAAAAACTAGGTGTTAGAATTTTTATCTCAACCACCAAGCCAAGCTGACATTTAGAACAAATAACTGGCCTTGTATCTGAAAACAGAGAATACTGAAGTGTTTGATATTTCCATTATCCCTAGTTTGCTGCAACATGTTACTTTTCATTTGATAGAGGTCAAAAATAAAATTCAATTGATACAATGATTTAAGGATGCTAAAACCTGGGCTGTATTGTTTAAAAACAAAATTTATAACGTGAATAAAGAAAAAAAATATGTTACTAGAATAAAGCAATGAGATCATGCTACCACTGCTCCATCTTCAGAAATTTATAGTTGTGAAAATCAGCCACTGTCTTGTTTTAAACCAGGTTTAATGACTATGTAGTAGTCATCATCAAGAGTCTGCATTCTATAGCTCAGGCTCTCCCCTAGCCATACTTGGAGATTTAGGAGAGTCAAAGAGACAGATAAAATTTTGACAAAGACAATGCAATCTAACGAAAGTCGCCTTGACCTAAATCAGCAAACAGCAAATGCTTCATCATTCATTGTAGTTTTACCTCTTGAGGAAGTTCTAGTTTAGAACGGTCAGTTCCTTCTTTTGACTGAAGGCCCATCAGATAAGGGACAGGAGCATCAAGAAAATGTAGCAGAGAAGCAGGTAGAATGGGCACATAAACATGTTGCCATTGAAATGGGAACAAAAGTGTGGTGATGCCTTCTGCCACAGTCATCAGGCGTTGATAATCTGCACAGAACAAGGAAAAAGGAAAGGGAAGAGTCCAAGTAAAAACACAATCACTTCATTAAGCTGGAAAATGTGGATCTTAAGAAAAAAATTTCTGCGTTAAAAGTAAATATTTCTTTATGATCATACAGAAAATAGGTCAGTTCTATTCCACTATAATTAAAGAATTAAATGGTTTCATTTGAATAGTTTTAAGGGGGTGTGGGTAGGTGGGAAACATCACACTCTTTGCTTCTTAAAATCATGGGTAGACGAACTTATATTCTCTTAAAGTGTGGAGGAATCAAGAACTAATAAAACTGCTCTTGGCATTTATCCCACTAAAAATGTACAAGATACAGTGTAACATTGTTATTATTTTTGAGATGGAGTCTCGCTTTGTTGCCCAAGCTGGAGTGCAATGGTGCGATCTTGGCACACTGCAACCTCCACATCTCGGATTCAAGCGATTCTCCTGCCTCAGCCTCCCAAGTAGCTGAGATTACAGGCGCCCACCACCACACCAGGCTAATTTTTGTATTTTTCGTAGAGATGGGGATTCTCCATGTTGGCCAGGGTGATCTTGAACTCTTGACCTCAAGCAATCCGCCTACCTCGGCCTCCCAAAGTGCTGGGATTACAGGCGTGAACCACCGCACCAGGCCAGTGTAACATTTTTGATCATTTTTTTATACATGAATGCTTACACAATTCCCATTTTTCTTTTTTCTTTTGTTTTGAGACAGTCTGGCCCCGTCGCCCAGGCTGGAGTGCAGTGGCATGATCTCGGCTCACTGCAACCTCCATCAGAGGCTTTTTTCTTACACAGTATATATGACTGTGGCTATAGCTTTGGTTAGCTGATTATATTTATTTTAGCCTTTATTTTGGGGGTACAAGAAGTCAAACAGATACATGCATTCATAGTTACACTTTCTATGTCTAACCCCTAGCCACAAAACTATCATATCTGGGTATTCTCGAGTTAACAGAAAATTAAGGATTAGTGTTTTTGTTATGTTTTATTTACATGAACTCACTAGTTTATCAAAATTAAAAGCTCCCCACAATAGTAAAGCAGCCTTTTAAACCACTCTGCAAAGGCTGCTTTATACTTACATATGTCCACAAGTCCGATTTAAATGTTTGGAAGTAGATATGCTTTAGAATTCAGATTTTTTAATTTAGAAAAGCAGTATGGTGCATATACCACATATATGAACTATCTAGGGCAGTATCCTATAATTAAATACATTAATATTTCTGCAGCAAACCATATATGTCCCAGTAGGACAGATAATCAAAGAATATGAATAGGGTCACTTTGGTTCAGGTCTGGTTTTGCTGATGAATGAGTTACAAAAAGAATGTTTGGTTTTCAGAATTTTTTGGATTTGTAGAATTGAGGATAATGGATTGTGGGCTTGTAATAATCCTTTCACAGAACCCACTGTGAACAAACACAGTAAAATCTTTGGGAGGAAGAATTTAGGGGAGTCTTTTTAAAAAGGTTAAGAAAATGATCAGATGTTACTTGAGTCACATCAACTCAAAGACCTGACCAAGCATAAACAGGATGTTTTCCATTTAAATTTTTTGTGTCATTTTATAATTTTAAATGACTACCTTTTTGGTAATGAATCATCAGTTATCCACAGCCCAAGTTTACTTAAAATTTTCCTTATTTGATTCATAAAGATTCAAATTTTAGGTGAAAATCTGTTTATAGGAATAACTTCTAGAACAAACACCAGGTGGCCTAAAAGGTAGGGGTCAGTCATACGAGCACAAAGAGCTAACCTAATTACCTGGGGTGGATACACACATTTTACAGCCAAGGCCCACTGAAGAAGCTAGGCTGAGACAGCTGGTACTCTCTGTGCAGGTGAGGCGGGTAGTAGAGGAGATCAGAAAATCAGTTCCTACCACTCTGCTAGGATAATCAGGCAGATGTTTGAACTGTAGGCAATATGGGTCTTTTATCCCAGGGGCGGGGGCGGGGTGAGGATGAAAAGCTGACCTGAAACCCCTGAGGTCGGCTGGATGGCCCCTAGAAGTAGAAACTGTGCCCTAATCAGAACTAATTGAAGTTCTGCACTATCACAGGACTCCATTATGGCACTTGGCCCCCGTACTGTCTCTCCTCTCTGTGGGTTTCCTAAGGACAGAGTGGCATCCACTTTCTCTGATTTTACCCATAAAGCATAGGGCCCACTTCACACCCAGTGCTGACTAAAATTTACTGATAACTACTAAATGTTATGTTTTTTTTCCTCTTAAGTTCAACAGAATCCTAACAAAATACAAAAAAAGGCCGGGCAGGCACAGTGGCTTATGCCTGTGATCCCAGTACTTTGGGAGACCGAGGTGGGTGGATTACCTGAGGTCAGAAGTTAGAGGCCAGTCTGGCCAACATGGTGAAACCCCATTTCTACTAAAAATACAAAAATTAGCAGGGCATGGTGGCAGGCACCTGTAATCCCAGTTACTTGGGAGGCTAAGGCAGGAGAATTGCTTGAACCCAGGAGGCGGAGGTTGCAGTGAGCCGGGATTGCACTACTGCACTCCAGCCTGGGCAACAGTGAGACTCCGTCTCAGAAAAAAAAACAAAAAACAAAAAGCCAAGCACAGTGGCTCAAGACCTGCAATCCCAGCACTTTGGGAGGCCAAGGCAGGAGAATCACCTGAGGCCAGGAGTTCAAGACTAGCCCGCCCATCATGGCAAAACCCTGTCTCTAGTAAAAATATAAAAATTAGGCATAGTGGCACATGCCTGTAATCTCAGCTACTTGGGAGGCTGAGGTACAAGAATCACTTGAACCCAGGAGGCAGAGGTTGCAGTGAGCTGCGATCGTACCACTGCACTCCAGGCCTGGGTGACAGAGTGAGATTCTGTCTCAAAAAAACAAAAAACAAACAAACAAAAAACCCAACAACAACAACAAAAACTCACCAGGAGTAGGCAGAGACAGTAATTTACAGTTATAGACTATGAAGACCAAATCCAGAGAAATCTCCTTAGATTCTGCTCTGTGGCCATCATTTCAACCAAGGATTGGGGCCTTTTATATTCTTGTAACCTCAGTATCTACCACAGTATCTGACATATAATAGAGGCTAAAACAATATTTTTGAACGAATAGATGATGATGGGATAAGAATATATATAATTTTGCTAGATATCTATAACTTAAAAAGACATGCTTAGATTTTATTCCATCCATGTGTTGTGAGTGTTCTATGTCTATTCTTCTTTCCAGTTCTGTATTCTCTTCAAGACTGGTTGAAGTACCACACACATTATTAATTTTTTTTTTGAGATCGAGTTTTCACTCTTGCTGCCCAGGCTGGAGCGCAATGGCTCAATCTTGGATCACTGCAACCTCCACTTCCTGGGTTCAAGCGATTCTCCTGCCTCACTCAGCCTCCTGAGTAGCTGGGATTACAGGCACACGCCACCACACCTGGCTAATTTTTTTGGATTTTTAGTAGAGATGGGGTTTCACCATGTTGGCCGGGCTGGTCTCGAACTCCTGACCTCAGGTGATCCACACGCCTTTGCCTCCCAAAGTGCTAAGATTACAGGCGTGAGCCACTGTGCCCAGCCCACACGCTTTTTAATAATGCAATTACTCAGCAGAAATAAGACAATTCTTTTTAACTGAATCAAGAAATAAAAGGCAGAGTTTTCTTCTTTAAGCATTTTTTTTAAACTTAAATATTTTAGGAAAGTCTTTTTATAATTGATACTCAAAGTGATGAATGTATAAAAGAAGTTATTTTAATATTTAAGACAGGCCTCAGCAAGGCACATGAGGCTCTTCATGATTTGGCCCTTGTCTGCCTCATTCCTTATCATCACTCCATATGCAGTAAGACCACTTGCTTGCAGTCCATGTTTTCACAGGCCTTGTGCCCCTTGTATATTGTTTTCCTCTGCCCAGAATGTCCCTTCCTCTTGCACTGCCTGACTAGGTTCCACTTTTTCCTCAGGCAATTGCTTCTTTGGAAAGCCTTCCCTAACACTTCTTATTATCACCAGAGTACTATCTACATGCTTCAACAGTACCCTATCTTTATTTCCATCCCAGGAATTATTCATCTCACTGAAACATTACAATTCTATCATAATTCTCTCTTCATGGTCTCTCTTCCCCAATACCCCATCATCTCCTAGAGAGCAATATATGTATTTTTCTTTTTATTTATTTATTTTTGGAGACAGGGTCTCACTCTCTCGTCCAGGCTGGAGTGCAGTGGTGCGATCTTGGTTCACTGCAGCCTCTGCCTCCCAGGTTCAAGTGATTCTCATGCCTCAGCCTCCCGAGTAGCTTGGATTACAGCTGTGCACCACCACGCCTGGCTAATTTTTTGTGTTTTTTGTAGAAAGGGGTTTCGCCATGTTGGCCAGGCTGGTCTTGAACTCCTGACCTCAAGTGATCTGCCTGCCTGCCTCCGCCTCCCAAAGTGCTGAGATTACAGGCATGAGCCACTGTGCCTGGACATATCTGTATTTCTAATCTCAGAATTGTTAACATTCAACATATGACCTACTACATGATGAGTAGCCAGTAAACGTGCTTTGAGAAATTAATATGTTAACATCTAAGGCATGTAAAATGAAATAAAAGTAGACATTAAAAAATTATGCTTGACTATATTATACAATAAAAACATACTGTCAAAAATGTGCCTAGTGATGGCTCTGGCACAGATCCCAAGGTGGCAATGGCCTCTGCTGCCTCAGCCCCTGCCATGCTGTCCACCAGCATCACTGTGGAGAATAAGGTCAGCCCCTCAAGGGCAACAGAGGGGTCTAGGTCTGGACCTGTGGCTGGCGGCACAGGAGCCATGGTGGTGCAGACCAGGAGCTGTGTCTAGCAAGGCTTATGCCCTGCCAAGCACTGCCAATGGAGATGTGAAGCTGCTGGTGGTATCCAGCATGCCTCTGGTGGACTTCCTGATGTAGCTGGAGGATTATACACCTATGATCCTGGATGCTGTGACTGATTATTTTTTATTTTTGAGATGGAATCTCGCTCTGTTGCCCAGGCTGGAGTGCAGTGGCATGAACTTGGCTCACTGCAACCTCCGCCTCCTGAGTTCAAGTGGTTCTCCTGCCTCAGCCTCCCCAGCAGCTGGGATTACAGGTGCACACCACCATGCCTGGCTAATTTTTGTATTTTTGTAGAGACGGGGTTTCACTATGTTGGCCAGGCTAGTCTCAAACTCCCGACCTCAAGTAATCCACCTGTCTCAGCCTTCTAAATGCAGGGATTACAGGCGTGAGCCATGCGCCTGGCCCAATGTGACTGAGCATTATCTGAATTATGTTGGCTTTGAGGTCTCAGACACATGCATAATTTGGCTTATCTCCCTAGTTTCACAGAAATTCATCTCAGGTATTGCCAACAATGACCTACGGCACTAGAAAATGAAAGGCACAGCCTCTGGCAGCTCCTGAAGTAAGAGCAAAGACTAATCATGGAGTACTTGACCCCTGTCCTCAGTATGACATCAATGTGGAGCCACCACACCACCTAAGCCACCCAACCTAAACATGTTTGTCTGTAACAAGCTTCACTGTGACCAAAAAATGTCAAAGAAAGGGCTAATTGTAGATTAAACACAGGTAAAGAGAGAATTCATAAAGCAGGAGACAGATGTGGAGAAATTACCCAGAATGCAGCACAGAGACACACAGAAAATTGGAATGAGGCTGGGTGTGGTGGCTCACGCCTGTAAGCACTTTGGGAGGCCAAGGCGGGCGGATCACAAGGTCAAGAGATCGAGACCATCCTGGCCAACATGGTGAAACCCCGTCTCTACTAAAAACACAAAAATTAGTTGGTCATGGTGGTGCACACCTGTGGTCCCAGCTACTCGGGAGGCTGAAGTAGGAGAACCACTTGAACCCAGGAGGCAGAGTTTGCAGTGAGACAAGATTGCAACACTGCACTCCAGCCTGGCAACAGAGTGAGACTCCATCTCCAAAAAAAAAAGGGTTGAGAGATAATGGAAGATTGAGCAAGACAGATTAACATGTTTAAGGCTGGACACAGTGGCTCATGCCTGTAATCCCAGCACTCTGGGAGGCCACGGCGCGTGGATCACTTGAGGTTAGGAGTTCGAGACCAGCCTGACCAACATGGTGAAACCCCGTCTCTACTAAAAATACAAAAATTAGCTGGGCATGGTGGCATGCGCCTGTAGTCCCAGCTACTCAGGAGGCTGAGACAGGAGAATTGCTTGAACCCAGGAGGCGAAGGTTACAGTGAGCAGAGTTTGCACCACTGTACTCCATCCTGGGCAATAAAGTGAGACTCTGTCTCAAAAACAAAACAACAACAACAACAAAAAAAAGTTTCACTAGAATTTCAGGAGGATTAAAAAAAGATACATGAATGCAATATTTACAAAGATAGTTGAGAATTTTCCAAAATGGGTAAAGGACATTAATTCTTAAATTTCAGGAAACATAATGAACCACAAGCAGAACAAATAAAGCCTCATTCAGATAAATCAGTCAAAATATCACACACCAAAGACAGAAAATCTTAAATATAACCAGAGTTGAAAAGACAGATTTCTGGCTAATGAGTAACAATGAGAGTCATTCATTAGAATGACATTAGAGGTGATGGCTGACTTCTCAACAGCAATACAGGAAACCAGAAGATGATAGAATATTATCCTCAGAGTTCTAAGAGAAAAAAACTTTTAACATATAATTTAACATCCAATGAACTATTTAAGATGATAGAATATTATCCTCAGAGTACTAAGGAAAAAAAAAAAACTTTTAACATAGAATTTAACATCCAATGAACTATTTTTCAAAAACAAGGACAAAATAAGATCTAATAGAGAAAGCTATCTCAGGAAAGGAACTTCTAAGAACACATGTTAGGAAGAAGACTGATCTCAAAAGAAATCTCTAAGATATGAAATAAAATGTGAATTTTCAAAAAATAATAACTGAGGCTGGGTGCAGTGGCTCACACCTATAATCCCAGCACTTTGGGAGGCTGAGGCAGAGGACTGCTTGAGCCCAGGACTTCACGACCAGCCTGGACAAGACAGTGAGACCCCCATCTCTACAAAAAGAAAAAAAAAAAGTAAGAAAAAAATTAGCCCAGCATGGTGGCGTGTGCCTGTAGTCCCAGCTATCAGGAGGCTGAGGCAGTAGGATTGCTTGAGCCCAGGAGTTCAGTCGCATCACTGCACTCCAGCCTAGGCAACAGAGTGAGACCTTATTTCAAAGAAAAACAAAATAAGGTCACTATGAGTAAATTTAAACAAAACCAAGTGTATAGAATAAAAATGTCTAATTTGAGGGATTATTAAAACTGAACAATCATAACAAGTAAGCCACAATGGGCATGGAGTTAAAGCATTTTATAGTTATCTGTGAAGATTCTATAACATAAGAGTAACTGTTCATGTTGAAATCTCAAAATTTATCATTAAGAAAAAGAGCATATAACATCTAAACAGAAAAAACTGCAATGAGAAAAAAATTTAAATCAATTCAAAACATCAAAAACAGAGAGAGAGAGAAAAGCAAGACAAATGGCCAAAATAAATGAAATTTTAAAAATTCTTAGAACTAGCCAGGTATGATGGCTCACACCTCTAATCCCAGCACTTTGAGAGGCCGAGGTGAAAGAATTGCTTGAGCCCAGGAGTTCAAGACCAGCCTGGGCAACATACAGAGACCCCACCTCTAAAAAAAATTTAAAAATTGGCCAGGTGTGGTGGCATGCACCTGTAGTCCCAGCTACAAGGGAGGTTGAGGTGGGAAGATGGCCTGACCCTGAGAAGTTGAGGCTGCCATAAGCTGTGATCACACCACTGCATTCCAGTCTGGGCAACAGAGCAAGACCCTGTCTCAAATTATTTATTTATTTATTTATTTTTAGAATTCAATGATAATGAAAGTATCAGATACTAAGACTTGTGGGATGTAGCTAACACAGGACTCAAGTGCTTAAGATACTGGTTTTGGTGGGCAGGTGGGGAGAAAGAAAGGTTTAATAAGCCCAAAAAAAGTAGTAGAAAGAAGTGAATAATAAAAACAAAACCATAAATTAATAAAACAGAAAACAAAGGTACAACAGAAGATACCAATGAAAGTAAAATCTGGTTCTTTAAAGAGTAATAGGGCTGGGCACAATGGCTCATACCTGTGATCCCAGCACTTTGGGAGGCCAATGCAGGAGGATCGCTTGGACCCAGGAGTTTGGGACTAGTCTAGGCAACACAGTGAGACCCTGTCATTTCAAAAAATAAAAAAAAAAATTAGCCAGGCATGGTGGCACACACCTGTAGCTCCAGCTACGTGGGAGGCTAAGGCAGGAGGATTGCCTGAGCCCAGGGAGGTCAAGACTGCAGTGAGCCTAGATCGTGCTACTGCACTCCAGGATGAGCGACAGGGTGAGGCCCTGTCTCAAAAAACCAAACAAACAAAAGGAAGTAATATAATTGACAAACTTCAGGTAAAAATAATTGGGGGAAAAAGAGAATGCACAAACAGTATTAGGAATGAAAAGGAGGACAAAACTACAGATATAACAGGGGTCAAGAAAACAAGGAAATATTAAGACTTTTTGCTAATATATTGAAAGCTTAATAAAAATTTTCTTAGAGAAAATAGCAAGGAACAAAAATTTATTCAAGAAAAAAATAGAGGTGGCCAGGTGCATTGCCTCAGGTCTGTAATCCCAGCACTTGGGAGGCCGAGGCAGGTGGATCACTGGAGGTCAGGAGTTCAAGACCAGCCTGGCCAACGTGGTGTAACTTGTCTCTACTAAAAATACAAAAATTAGCTAGCTGTGGTGGCATGTGCCTGTAATCCCAGCTACTCGGGAGGCTGAGGCAGGAGAATCACCTGAACCTGGAGGCAAAGGTTGCAGTGAGCCAAGATCACGCCACTGCACTCCAGCCTGGGTGACAGAGACAGACTCCATCTCAAAAAAAAAAAAAAAAGAAGAAGAAGAAGAAGAAGAAATATAGAGGAGCTTCTGGACTGGCAAATACATTAAGGTGCTGGGTAAGTCCAAGGAAAGCATAGCAGTTCTGCACCCACCCCTACACCTTTTGCACCTCTCTTCCATTTGGCTGTTTCTGAGTTGTATCCTTTATAATAAACCAGTTAGCAATAAGTAAAGTGCTTTCTTGAGTTCTGTGAATCATTCTGGGAATTTATAGAACTTGAGGGGTTGGGGGATGGTGTTGGGGAACCCCTGATTTTGTAGTCATCCAAGAAAAAATGTATGTGGCCTGGTGCTACGGTTTGGACATGGTTTGTTGGCCCCAATGTTGGAGGTGAGGTGTTTGGGTCCTGGGGGTGGATCTCTCATGAATGGCTTTGTGCCATTCTCATGGTTGTGAGTGAGTAGTTTTTCACTCTTACTTTCCATGAAAATTGGTTATTGAAAAGAGTCTGGCATCTCCCTCCTCTCTCTTGCTTCCTTCCTCTTGCCATGTGATTCTGGCTCCCCTTCACCTCCTGCCATGAGTAGATGCTTCCCAAGGCCCTCATCAGAAGCAGGTGCTAGCACATGCACAGAACTGTGAGCCAAATAAACCTCTTTTATTTTTCTTTGAGACAGGGTCTCGCTCTGTCACGAGGCTGTAGTGCAGTGACATAATAATGGCTCACTGCAGCCTCTAACTCCTGGGCTCAGGTGATCCTCGACCTCAGCCTCCCAAGTAGCTGGGACTACAGGCATACACTACCATGTCTGGCTTTTTTTTTTTTTTTTTCTTTGGAGATGGAGTTTCCCTTGTTACCCAGGCTGGAGTGCAATGGTGCGATCTCGGCTCACTGCAGTCTCTGCCTCCAGGGTTCAAGCGATTCTCCTGCCTCAGCCTCCCGAGTAGCTGGGATTACAGGCATGCACCACCACGCCTGGGTAACTCTGTATTTTTAGTAGAGATGAGGTTTCTCCATGTTGGTCAGGCTGGTCTCGAACTCACAACCTCAGGTGATCCACCCACCTCGGCCTCCCAAAGTGCTGGGATTACAGGCGTGATACACTGTGCCCGGCCTTATTTTTAATTTTTTTGTAGAGACGGGGTTTCACCATGTTACCCAGGCTGGTCTTGAACTCTTGGGCTCAAGAGATCTGCCTGTCTCAGCTTCCCAGAGTGCTGGGATTACAGGTGTAAGCCACTGCACCAGGCCAAACTTCTTTTCTTTATAAATTAACCAGCCTCAGGTATTTTACAGTAACACAAATAAACCAAGACACCTGATACCTCATTTGTGGCTGGCATCAGAAGTGAGGACAGTCTTGTGAGAATGAACTCTTAAACCTGTGGAGTCTGACATTCAGTTAGGAATGAATTGAACTGTTGGGCATCCAGTTGGTATCACAAATTGACAGGTGTTGGGGAGGAAAGACTCTCTCACTTGGTGTCAGAAAAACTGAGATTTGTTATAACAGCCCAGGCTCATGGAAACCTGTGGTTTGGGAAGAGGGACAATGAGAGGGTGGGGAATTAGGAACCTTTAATTCCTGGGTGGCCACTCATGGGATGGAGCAGTAGCTGTGCTGAGACCATTTACTGAAGGTAAAAGTAACTAATGGAATTTAGAGATGAATCCACCTCCCAGGGAGTGGGATTCACTGGATATATAAGGAAATGCAAACCAACAGAAAAAAGTTAAATATAAAATCCCTTGGTTATTGTTCTATGTAAAAGCTAAAATGAAATTTAAAAGAGTGCTAGGTCAACCTTGATGCTGGACCAAGCTCAGATTTCTGCTGGTCAGGGCGTGACAACTAGCCTCAAAGCCACTCCCAACGGGAAAAATTATGTGGAAACCGCCTGGGCATTTCCTCACCAACACCCTTAGGTATTCTGTAGTTTCTTGGTTTTGTGGTTCCCCCATGTGGAGTACCTTTCTGGTGACCAGAGATCTTAGAGACACTCTTTGTTGTTTCCACATAATTTTGTTGTGTTTGAGAAGGAGTCTCGCTCTGTCACCTAGGCTGGAATGCAGTGGCATGATCTCAGCTCACTGCAACCTGCAATTCTCGGGCCTCAGCCTCCCAAGTAGCTGAGATTACAATCGCACACCACCATGCCTGTATTTTTTTTTTTTTTTTTTTTGTAGAGACAGGGTTTCGTGATGTTGGCCAGGCTGGTCTCACACTCCTGACCTCAAGCAATCTGCCACAAGGGAGGTAGAGATGGAGTTTCACCATGTTGGCCAGGCTGGTCTTGAACTCCTGCCCTCAACAGAAACCAGGGGATAGTATGAAGTCTCATTTTATAGATAAGTATCATCCACTTCCTGATGAATCTCTGCTACAGGAACTAATTTCGAGGCAGTATCTTTATTTTTAAATGCTGCAGCGTGGAAGAACATGCTTGGGTTGACACAGGGCCCACAGCTCACTATGGAACAATCACAGATGGCTATATGTGATCCAGACACAAAGGTGATGATTCAGTCAGAAATGAATTGAACTGTTTTATCCAATCCTTGAGGGACCAGCCAGTCTCAAGGACTGGATAAAAGCTACTCGAAGTCTGTTTACCTTGAGAAGGGAGACTGCCCAATTCCCCCTATAAATTCCAAGTGGAACACCCCAGATGAAGAAGCTGATATGCTCTGCACAAAAGCCACGCAGGACTGGCTTTATGATAATCGGGATATTCACCCGCTGAATACATCCGTTACCCAGGGCAAATGCTGCGGTTAGGGAGGCTCCTTTTATGTGGGCACTCCATGTAACTTTACTGCTTCAAAATCTAACATTACGAGAAGCCTTATTGAATTTGCTATCTCAGCTTACTCTCATCTTACAGATGCTAATAAAAACATTAATAATGAGTCAAAGGACTCAACCCAGCAGGGTGGAAATTTTTAAGTGTCTATTAAGAAATAGGGTGAATAAAACAGACCTTGATGGGACTGAAACAAAAGTCTTTTTTGAGATGGAGTCTTGCCCTGTCTCCCAGGCTGCAGTACAGTGGCACGACCTCGGCTCATTGCAACTTCCACCTCTTGGGTTCAAGCGATTCTCCTGCCTCAGCCTCCCAAGTAGCTGGGATTACAGGGGCACACCACCATGCCTGCCTAATTTTTGTATTTTCAGTAGAGACAGGGTTTCCCTATGTTGGCCAGGCTGGTCTCAAACTCCTGAACTCAGGTGATCTGCCCACCTCGGCCTTCCAAAGCATTGGGATTACAGACATGAGCCACGGCACCCAGCCTGAAATGAAAGTCTTAATATAGCACTACCAAAGGTTGCATGGACTATAAGGACCCTCAGATGGTTTCCCAAAATTAAAGGGCTCAAACAAATCTGCTCTATTTGCCCCAGCACAGAGAAATTTAAAATGTAAGAAGGGAAAGATTACAATTAGAAACATGATCTGGAATTGCTTGGGGATATATAGTAAGGTAAATTAATCAAAATAAAGACTCACAAAAGGGCCAAGATACCTTGCTGAACACCCAAAACCTAATGCACAGGAGTGGGTCAAATAATCAAGGGATGGAGAAGTTTCTGGGACTCATTTGAGAGCCTTATATGCTGTTGCACCAAAATCTTCTAGTGAAGTCTTTTTAAAAAAAAAAAGATAGGGTCTCACTGTGTCACACAGGCTGGAGTGCAGTGGCACAATCTCAGGTTACTGCAACCTCCACCTCCCAGGCTCAAGCGATCTCCCACCTCAGCCCCTGTAGTAGATGAGACTACAGGTGCACACTACCATGCCTAGCTAATTTTTGTATTTTAGTAGAGATGGGGTTTTGCTATGTTGCCCAGGCTGGTCTCAAACTCCTGGGCTCAAGTGATCCTCCTGCCTCAACCTCCCAAAGTGTTGGGATTACAGGCAGGAGCCATTGCCTCAACACAGTGGCTTACAGCCTTAACGCAGGCTACAATTAGAATGATAATATATTAAAGTGTTAAGGTTGATAGGATTAAGGAGGAAGTTTGAATGAAATTGGAATGTTTAAACACACTTTATCTAAATGTTTTATGGGAGTGGATCTTAGGTTTGACTGTTTCACCCCATTTCTCCTACCTAGTACAGTAAAACAGAGGGCACAGTGTCAATCTACCCTTCAAGCATTATTAATTGGACATGCTAAATGGGAATGAATTAGATTGCCTGAGCTCACGCAGTGTAGAACCGAGAAGCTGGAGCACTGGTACAGACAAATTCTCTGTATGTGGAGTGTGGGCTAGGGCTTATGTCGAAAGCCTGCGAGTGCCTCCCAGTGACAACTATCAGGGTGCTGGACTACAGACTTTCCATTTCAGAGGCAACTACTAAGTTTGCTATTGGATATTGATTTAAAGTGCCCCTATGACTGAAGGACATAAAACAATGCTGAAACTTGAAATATCCACGGTATCTAAGGCGATTTTGGAAAAACACTCTAATGGGAGAGGACAGTGCCCAAAAGAGATCCCTATTGAAAAAGAAATGGTTTATACTGGATCTTGTTACCAGAGGAATGCAAGGAAGAGATTCTCACATATAGGGAGCCTCTTTTTCCCTTGGACTGACTTTGGAACTGTAGGAGAACCTTCTGCATTTAATTGTCACTTGGACAATGCCCTATAAATACCTCTCAGTTGACCAGCAAAGTACTGTTTGGTTTATGGATGGCAGTTCCAAGGAGAACTATGATGTCCACTTGAGCATGCCTAGCAATTTGTGATGAGAAAGCTCCCAACTTTTTCAAGAAAACTTTAAGTAGCTTCCACCTTCTGACAAGGTTAATTCACATACAACTCAAAGAGGAATGAAACGAACAGAGGGATGGCAGACAAGCACTGCAAAGGCACACAGGCATGCAGTGTGGTGTGGGTAGTGGTTTATTTCCACTATGAAGAACCAAAGGAGGTAAGCAAGGCCCAAAAATGTTTCTTAGACTTCAATTATTGGTATCAAAAGTTAGACAATGGTGTTTAAATTCCCCTTTTATTCTTCCACTAGTTCTTTGAAAAAAGAATCATACTCTGATTTTCATACTGTGCTGCTCCAGGTATTTCCCAGTTGCAGAACAAAGTGCCCATTTCTGATCTGGGGTCCTAGAAAAGAGCCTTCACATCCTGGGTACATTTTCTCTACTTAGAATTTCTAGCTAGTTACCACTGCAAAGTGACAGTGATATATGCATTTCCTAAATAACAGATTGAATTGGTTTAAATGGGCTGTGGATCAGAATTTCAAATCAGTCTAGAAGGACATTTTCATCACTGAAATCCACCTACTTTGATTCACTTTGGGTTTTCATGGTAACTCTTCAGCACACGCAATGTTTTTAAATTTATGGCATAGCTTTATCAGTGAGTAAGAAATGAAGTATCACATGTTATTAAAACCCCCTTAACACAGTTAAGAAGAGTAAAGGAGGGCACCCAAGTACAAATCAACATAAGGACACCTATTTCATTCATTTAACTGAAATATTTTTCTCTAATAGAAGAGACATTGTCAATATTAAAATCTAGATTTACACAGCGCTTTCATTTTATACTCTACAATTACTTCGCATGACACCTTTACAATAGACCCACAGAATGAGTTAATCATTTAAAAATAAATATTGAGACAGATAAGGAGAGGTTAAGTGCAGTGCCCAATACAGTTAACACAGTGGTTAAGCATCTGAAAAAAGACTGATGAAACCCAATTCTTAGTAGTACTACATTACTTACTAGCTGTATCATCTTGGGCAGATTACTTAGTTTCCCCAAGCCTCAATCTCCTCCTCAACAAAAAATGCACAACAGCACTAACTCACTGCTGTTGAGAGGATTAAATGTAGGGAAAAGATCCAAAATATACAATGCCTTTTTGTAGCACAATTCCTAACATAGAGTGATTTTAGTGAATGGTTATAAATTTACTGTATGGCAATTTTTTGGGGTATGTCACTTTAAATTTTTTAAAAATCTAGCTCTATAATCTCAGGATTCACTCTGTTGTTCTCGGCATACAGATTACAAAAAAATAGAGTATAAAACCATATCCATAAATGCTTATTCTTCTTCATTTGAAACTGAAATAAATTGGTAGATATTAATGAGCTAAAACTCCTGAACAGACTCCACAAACCAAACAGGACAAGCTAAGCAGTGGCTCACACCTGTAAACCCTACACTTTGGGAAGCTGAGGCAGGACGATCGCTTGAGCCCAGGAGTTTCAAACCAGCCTGGGCAGTGTAGTGAGACTTCATCTCCACTAAAAATAAAAAACATTAGTCAGGTATGGTAATGCATGCCTGTAGTCCCAGCTACTCAGGAGGCTGAGGGGTGAAGGTTGCTTGAGCCCTGGAGTTTGAGGTTGCAGTGAGCTACGATCATGTCACTGCATTCCAGCCTGGGCACCAGAGTGACACCCTGTCTCAAAACAAACAAACAAAAAAAGAGCAGAAATAGGAGAGCTCAGGACAGACCACAAACGGTGAGACATAACCTGCTACTTAAAAGAGGAGGTGTGGGCCGGGTGCGGTGGCTTACACCTGTAATCCCAGCACTTTGGGAGGCCAAGGCAGGCAGATCACCTAGGGTCAGGAGTTCGAGACCAGCCTAGCCAGCATGGCAAAACCTCATCTCTACTAAAAATACAAAGAAATTAGCCAGGCATGGTGGTGCGCGCCTGTAGTCCCAGGGACTTGGGAGGCTGAGGCACGAGAATCGCTTGAACCCAGGAGGTGGAGGTTGCAATATGCTGAGATTGCGCCACTGCACTCCAGCCTGGGTGACAGAGCAAGACTCCGTCTCAATAAAAAAAAATAAAAATAAAAAATAAAAGAGGAAGTGTGATAATGGAAGCTTTTGGAGTTTTTTTTTGCCTTCTAAAAAAAGCATGGTATACAATATAAAAGAACATTTATTAGGTTCTCAACTCTGGAATAAACTCTTGACTGTATCATTTAAAAAGGTTTTATGTTAAATGTAGTAATATGTTGAACCTTCACAACTTAGAGATAAGTGTAATTTATAGAAGATTATATGGGACTAATAAAACTAGTAATTATTATAATAGCATCAGCTATCATTTAGTCAGTGTCAATTATACCCTAAGTATTTTATACACGTTTTCTTATTTAATTGTCATAATAGATCAGTGAGAAAGGAGAAAAAAAAAAAACCCAAACTATTATCCCTATAGAGATGTGGCAACTGTCACACAGGAGGATTACCTAACTCGCCCATGGGTATAGTTAATAAATGACAGAGTAGACATTTGAACCCAGGATTGTTATGACTTCAAAAACCAATACTCTAAACCAGGCATGGTGGTATGTGCCTGCAGTCTCAACTACTCGGGACGCTGAGATGGGAGGATGGTGTGAGCTGAGGAGTTTGAGGCTGCAGTGTGCTAAGACTGTGCCTGTGAATACACTGTACTCCATTCTGGGCAACACAGTGAGACCCCATCTCTAAAAATTAAAGGCAAAACAAAAGAACCCACCCACCCCCAATATTCTTTCTAACCCAAATTGCTTCTCTAGGCAGAACATAAATAAATTGAACTTCAAGATTCAAGAAAATGGCCTTTAAGATTTCTTCTAAGTCTAGAATACAAAGTTCTTTTTTTCGGCCAGGCACAGTGGCTCACGCCGGTAATCCCAGCACTTTGGGAGGCTGAGGCGAGTGGATCATGAGGTCAGGAGTTCAAGACCAGCCTGACCAACATGGTGAAAACCCTGTCTCTACTAAAAATACAAAAATCAGCTGGGTGTGGTGGTGCGCACCCATAGTCCCAGCTACTCGGGAGGCTGAGGCAGGAGAATTGTTTGAACCCGGGAGGCGGTGGTTGCAGTGAGCCAAGATCATGCCACTGCACTCCAGCCTGGGCAACAGGGCGAGACTCTGTCTTAAAAAAAAAAAAAAGTTATTTTTTTCTAATGGGCTAAAACACCATAAGGTATTAAGCTCCAAGCCTCTGCCCCTTCTAGCCATTCTCTAATCCCTACTCCATTCAGGGAAATAAAAGGAAGAAAGGAAGAGAGAATTACTTAAGGTAAAATTTTTCAGATACAAAAAGGTGATCTGTAAGTAATAATGGAAGCAGTGAGTCCTCAGCTTCTGCTGGTGGGAAGGTTCATGCTGAATATTTAGCAGGCGCTCTCTCTAAAGAGAACAGCCACCACACTTATGGCAGGGACTTTGCTGTCAGTAGCTCAAGAGGCAAAATGAACTACAGACTGGGACAAAAGGTGTGAAGTCTCTCGTTTACATAGATTGGATTCATCACAAATTTACCAGGTCAAGAATTCCATATAAAGCGTTTCAGCCTTCACTTGCAGATCATGAAAAATATGACGGAGATCCACAGAATCCTCAGAAACTGCATATTGTTACCAGAATAAAAAAGTACAAAAAGGTGTCCATATTGGGAAAAAGACATAATAAAGATGCTCAGATTAGAAAACACACATATCCATCAAGTTCACAAGCATATTGCTTCAGTGAATGCAAAACTGAAAGTGGTTTAACAGTCAGTAAGAATCAAGCCCCTGAAGTTGCCACAAGGATTTCCAACTGAGGAGGACATGTCTAAGCTCTGCCTCAAGAGCACTGGGGAATTAGTGCAGTGGCATCTGAAATCTGTGGAGCAGAAAGCAATTAACTCCTAATGCCCAAGGAGCTTCAGATTAAAAAATGGATTTTTTTTTTATCTAAAGATGATGAGAAAGTGTTTCACTAAAATATATTTTAAATATATACATATAAAAAGAAAGTGGGTGAAAGAAGAAAGGAAAGAATTTAGATTGGTCATTAGAGAATAACTTCCTGACAACAAAAATTGAGACATGAAACACATTATCAAAGAACATTATGTTGGATAAACTGAAGAAAATACAACCTTGTGAACGGCTGTCAACACACAAATAGTGTCAACATACACACAAGATGGGGAAGTACAAATATAGTCTACTTGGCTCAGCCCCACTTATAATTTAAAATAGAAAAATAAAAAAAGGAAAGTGGTAAAATAAGCTTGACGGCACCAGTCGGGATTGCACTACAATTCTGCCAGCTTAAATACAAGTTAGCAAAATGCTAACCCCAGTTGGGTGCAATGCTTCATGCCTGTAATTCCAGCACTTTGGGAGGCCACGGCAGGAGGATCATTTGAGCCTAGGATTTTGAGAGTCCAGGGCAAGACAGTGACAGTCCGTCTCTACAAAAAATAAAAAATTAGCTGATGCGGTGGCACATTCCTATAGTACCAGCTACTCAGGAGGGTGAGGTGGGAAGACAGCTTGAGCACGGGATGTCAAGGTTGCAGTGACCCATGATTGCACTACTGCACTCCAGCCTGGGTGACGGAGTGAGAACTTGTCTAAAAAAAAAAGTGAATCCAAATATTTGTGTAACCTTTTTTGAAGAATCTATCAGTGTACAGGTACTATTTTATAATTTCCTTCAATTCACTATCCATTAAGACATAGCATCTCTATTTTCTCTACACATTCATATTCAGATGACAACTAGTATCCTAGTCTAGGCTCAGCATTAGTCTTCACAAATGTACTGGTAAAATAAAATCCATAGTTTGTTATTTTCTTAATATGTGTTGGAAGAACTTTGAATGAAAGATACCACAAAGATAACTTCCTTCTGAGATTAAAAAACATAAACAAAAAACCACACACACACACACACAACTCTGGCAGAACTGTTAGACCTGGGAAAGTCATCTGTCTCATGCCTGCTCACCTTTTCTCTCACTCAGATGAAATGCTCCCACAGGCAAAGATCCAAAGTTGATTGCCTCAGGAAGCTGCAGAGTCAACAATTTCATTTATCCCTTTTCAATGTTCGCTGAGTTTTGATGTGAACCTTTACTAATCCATAAAGAATGGGAAGTCTACACGTTTCTGGTAGTAACAGAGTTCTCTCACTCTCATTATGATGAAGAAAAAATGTTTTCTTAATGACGATTATATATTATCAGGAAAAAAGGGCTATTTCCATTAATAAATAAATATACCCAAATCAGCCAAGTTAACACTTGTGTTCCTTCCTATTTCTCTCTGCAGTCACTGACTGCCACCTCAAAGAGAAACAGCAGTCTCATCTCAGCCGCTGGTCCCACCATACCTGCTCCCTTTACACAAAACAGAAAAGACTGTGATCATTATTCGGTTCTAATAATATACCCCATGGAAACACAGTAGTTGGGAGCAAAAGTACTTGTTTTTGGAAAATGTAAAATCCAAGGAAAACCTACCTTGTGAGTAGAGAAGGATTTGCATCTCTAAAAGAACACAGGTAAACACCTGCACCAGGTTCTCTAATCCCAGGAGCTCAAATGCCTCCCGAAGGGGGTAATCAGAGAGGGGGAGTTCACTGGGCCCAGGCCTCTGGCAGATGACAGGTTCATAAACACCATAAAATTTCAGTGACCTCCCTGGAGGTGGAAGGGGTACTTCATAAAGAATATTGTGGATATAGCTTTCAAGTGGCAAGGGTGGTGGCTGCTGTGAGGTAACAGCCTTGTAAAGCTGGATAAGGAATTTCTTGCAGGCCTGCATGAATGGTAACGGTGTGATCAAGCATATACTTTTTGAAACATACAGGGTGTCTCTGCTAATATCATAGGAGTTGTATCGCTGGAGTTTCAAAAGGGAAGTTGTATCTCCTTCATCAAGACTACTTGCCAATGAGTCCATACTGCAGGAAGATGAAGCATACACACTGCTGTAATGCTCAGCGTTGTGCATCTGGTAAAGTGTCTGCATTGCTGTGCAGATTTGCTTACTTGTAACTTCTTCATAAAAAGTGAGAACAAAACCATAGGTGCGAGAACCATCTTCCCTGGTAATTATAAATGAGTGAAACTGGGGGTCTTTATTGTCCGTTTGTGTCCTGAAAGATAGCCCTTTAGGCATGCACAACTGTGAAAGAAAGAAAAAAAAAAATCAGAATGCAGTACACAAATAACTTCAAGCCAGAAATAAATGTTGTTTTTTTAACATAACAGGATTCAAAAAGACAGGTTTTATCCAGATTTAATATTCGCAATAGCCTTAAATTAGAAATATATTATAAATTCCTCATACACATGTATATAAAATTATTCTTAAAAGGAGTATATACAAGGGAAAAACTTTTACTGTGTGATGTTACATGCAAGGGGCTTTACTAAGAACAAGAGAATCACTGATTTAGTCCCAGAGTAAACCTCTAACCAAGCTTGTGGCCTTTAGCAAGCCATATAACTTCTGTGAGCCTCAGTTCCTTTATCTACAATAGTTGCTGTATCAACGACTTGAAGACAGAGTAGGCAAAAGCATTTCACAAATATTAAAAAGCACTTCACAAAAATAGTACTCAAGTATTTAATACAGGGAAATAGGAAAAGGCTCATTTAGGAAGTGGAAAAAAGTTAAACAAAGAATAATAAAAACAACAGTGTCATCTTTGCTATTTTGAATAGTATGGTATTTTATCCAAGAAAAAGAAACTTTGGAAATTGAAAGCTTTTTGATCTACTAAAGCAGAAGCACAGAAACAAGGCATTTTAGATTACTTCTAGTAGAGATTATGCTCTAGTTCTTGGGAACTACCCAGGATTGAGGAAACTTGAGAACAAAATTACCCAGAGGAGCTAAAGATGCTATATTTAAGACACTTAAAATGCACAGAAAATTAGAATTGATTCTTTAAAACATTTTAAATAAAAGAAGTGAAATTACAGAAAAGTTGAAATATACTAAGGAAAACAGAACTTGTAATTCAACCATCCTAATACTCATTATTCATATTTAGATATTTCTATTTTTGTATTGCAATATGCTTTTTACATAGAAATAATTTAACCATATATTATTACTATTTTTCTATATTTAATAACTGATGTGGTACAAAATTTAGACTGTCTCCCACATCCCCACATTACCAAGAAAATACAATTCCTTTATTTCTTCATTCAAACCGTCAAAAAACATTTATTAAGTGCCTTTTATGAGAGGGGCCCTATGATACAATGGTGGGAAGGACAGACATGGCCCATGGTCCTATGGTATTTCCAGTCGAGTAAGGTTAACAGGTAAGTTTTAAAAATCATAAACTATAAAGTAAGGGAAGTGCTATGATAGGGTAAATAAGGGTTGCTATGGGAAAAACATATAATAGTAGGAAGACACACATTAGAAAAGAAGGAGCTACCAGGAAAAAATGAAGCCCAACTGAAACCTCAGGACGAGTATAGGTCTTAGTGGATAAAGAAGATTCCAGGCAGAGAGGACATGTGCAAAAGCCCAGAAGAGTTTGAGGAACTGAACAGGTCAGTGTGGGTGGGGCAGAGAATGCAAGGTGGGAGGACGTGAGAGAAAGCAAGAGAAATAATCAGGGGCTAGCCCATGAAGGGCCTTGGTAGGCCATGTTAGAACTGTGGGGAGGACAATGGGAAACCTCTGAAGGGTTTTTAGGAGAGGGACAGAATTAGACGTGCCTCTTAGCACATCCATCTTGGAACACTAAGGGGAGTGGTTTTCAAAGGGGTTCCAAAGAGGCAGCAGGAATGTCTCAGGGCCTTGGAAGGGAGTGAGAGGCTAGAGGAAGAAGTTGAGAGGGCCAGTGTCCCTTCTTCCCCTATGCACATTCCACTTTCATTTATTCTGTAGAGTGGAATTCTTTCAGTGTTAAGATTTCTGGGTTCCCACTGCTTAAAAACAAAATCTTGATGGTGGGATAGGATTAATGCAACACAATTGTCATTAAGCATGAAGGCGGGTGGGTGTCCAAACTGCTCCTCACAGCCATTTCAGATTGTGGTCCTTTCCTTTACCCTAAAAACTATTGGCTTTGAAGCTCATGTCATGATTGTGCCACATTTTGGGTTTCTTTTCTATCCAAGTTCATTTCCAGAGCAACTTCTTCCATGATTTTAAATATACTCTTTCAACTCCCAAATCTACAATCTCATGAACCTGACTCTTAACTGAGTAACTACTTGACAATCCCATCAAGATGTCTAATAGGCAACTCAAACTTACCATGTCCCAAACTGAAGTTCTGATTTCTTCCTCCAAATCAGTTTCTTCTTATATCAGTCTTTTCTGTAATTCCATCCATCTAATTTGCCCAGGACAAAAACCTTGGAGTCATCTTTAACTTCTTCCTCTCTTTCTCACTTACCCCATTATCCAATCCATCAGCAAATATTATCAATTCTATCTTCAAAAATACATGCAGAAACTAATTGCTGTTGCTTCTTTTTTTTTTTCTTTTTTAGAGGTGAGGTCTTGCTCTATCACTCAGGATGAAGTGCAGTGGTACAATCACAGTTTACTGCAGCCTCAAACTCCTGGGTAAAAGCAATCCTCCCGCCTCAGCCTCCTGAGTCAGAAAGTAATTGTTTTGATCTTTACGCTTACCACTCTAATCTAAGTCACCCTCTTTTCTTGTCTGGATGTAACAGCCTGTTTCTGCCCTTGTCCCCCATAATCTATTTCCCTTATAAGAGCCAAAGCAATCCTTAAAAAATATGTTAGATCTTGTCACTCTTGCCAAAATTCTCCAATGGACTCTTATCTCACTAAAAGCTGATGTCCTTATAATGGCCTGCAGGGAAGCCCTGCATGACTCAGCCCCCAACAACCTCTCTGCCCTCATCTTATACTCTCTAACTCACCCACTCTGCTCCAGCAACAATGGCACGTTACTGTTCTATGAACACACCCCGCGTGCTCCCATCAAAATCTGCTCTTCCCTTTTCCAGCAGCTTTCTTCCCCTTGGTATCCACATGACTCATTCCTTGTGGCAGATATAGCTCCAATAATATTTCTACTTTCACACACTCTTCCAAACCTTGACACTTCCCCATTAAGAAGTGGAGCTCACTCTCCTTGAACCTGGGTGGGCTGCTGAGAGTGCCTATACCAGGATCTGGGAAACTTTTTCTATAAAGAGACAGATAAGTATTTTAGGCTCTGGAGGCCATTACAGTCTTTGTCACAACTGCTCCACTCCACATTGTATTAGGTGAGTGCAAAAGTAACTGTGGTTTTTGCATTGTTGGAATTTGCCATTTGACATTGGAATACACTTTTTAAATAAATGTGGTTATAGTATACATCTTTTTTTTTTTTTTCCAAGACGGAGTCTTGCTCTGTCACCCAGGCTGGAGTGCAGTGGCGCGATCTCGGCTCCCTGCAACCTCTGCCTCGCAAGTTCAAGCAATTCTCCTGCCTCAGCCTCCCAAGTAGCTGGGATTACAGGCGTCTGCCACTGCACCTGGCTAATTTCTGTATTTTTAGTAGAGATGGGTTTCACTATGTTGGCCAGGCTGGTCTCAAACTCCTGACCTCATGATCCGCCTGCTTCGTCCTCTCAAAGTGCTGGGATTACAGGCTTGAGCCACTGAGCCTGGACCATCATTTTAATGGGCATTTCTCGCTTTATGTTTTTTTGCTAATGACTTATTACTTGCTGTTTATTTTAGATTTTAGACTGAAAATGTTAGACAAAAAAGCAAATTAGAGCAGTTTTCTTTTCTTTTCTTTTTTTTTTTTTTTTTGAGATAGAGTCTCACTCTGTCACTCAGGCTGGAGTGCGGTGGCGCAATCTTGGCTCACTGCAACCTCCGCCTCCCAGGTTCAAGCCTCAGCCTCCCGAGTAGCTGGGACTACAGGCCTGCACCACCATGCCCAGCTAATTTTGTGTTTTTAGTAGAGACGGGGTTTCACCATTTTTGGCCAGGCTGGTCTCAAACTCCTGACCTCAAGTGATCTGCCCGCCTTGGCCTCCCAAAGTGCTGGGATTACAGGTGTAAGCTACCCGACCCGGCCTCGAGCAATTTTCTTATTCAAGTTCAAAATGGGTCGTAAAGCAGTGGAGACAACCACAACATCGACAATGCATTTGGCCCAGGGACTGCTAACTAACGCACAGTGCAGTGGTGGTTCAAGAAGTTTTGAAAAGGAGATGGCAGCCTTGGAGATGAGAAGCATAGTGGCTGGCCATCAGAAGTTGACAATGATCAATTGAGAGTAATCACTGAAGCTGACCCTCTTCAGCAACATGAAAAGTTGCTGAAGAACTCAACGTCGACCATTCTATGGCCGTTTGACATGTGAAGCAAATTGGAAAGGTGGAAAAACTCGGTAAGTGGGTGCCTCATGAGCTGAGTGGAAATTTTAAAAAATCGTCATCTTGGAGCCAGGTGCGGTGGCTCATGCCTGTTATCCTAGCACTTTGGAAGGCTGAAGCAGGCGGATTGCCTGAGCTCAGTTTGAAACCAGCCTGGGCAACATGGTGAAATCCTGTCTCTACTAAAATACAAAAAATTAGCAGGGCGTGGTGGCATGCACCTGTAGACCCAGCTACTCAGGAGGCTGGGGCAGGAGAATTGCTTGAACCTGGGAGGCGGAGGTTGCAGTGAGCCGAGATTGTGCCACTGAACTCCAGCCTAGGCAACAGAGTGAGACTCCATCTCAAACAAAACAAAACAAAACAAAACAAAATAAAATAAAAGCATCATTTTCAAGTGTCGTCTTCTCTTATTCTACACAGCAACAACGAACCATTTCTCAATCAAATTGTCATGTGCAACAAAAAGTGGATTTCATTAGACAACCGGCGATGACCAGCTTAGTGGCTGAACCAAGAAGAAGCTCTAAAGTACTTCCCAAAGCCAAACTTGCACCAAAAAAAGGTCACGGTCACTGTTTGGTGGCCTGCTGCTGGTTTGATCCACTACAGCTTCCTGAATCCTGGCGAAATCATTACATCCAAGAAGTATGCTCAGCAAATCGATGAGATGCATCAAAAACTGCAAAGCCTGCAGCGGGCACTGGTCAACAGAAAGGGCCCAATTCTTTTCCACAACAATGCCTGACCGCACATCACACAACAAATACTTCAAAAGTTTAACGAATTGGGCTATGCAGTCATGCCTCATCCACCATGTTCACCTGACCTCTTGCCAACTGACCACTTCTTCAAGCATCTCGACAATTTTTTGCAGGGAAAACGCTTCCACAACCAGCAGGATGCAGAAAATGCTTTCCAAGAGTTCATCAAATCCCAAAGCACGGATATTTTACGTTACAGGAATAAACAAACTTATTTCTCATTGGCAAAAATGTGTTGATTGTAATGGTTCTTATTTTGATTAATAAGGATGTGCTTGAGCCTAGTTATGATTTAAAATTCTGTCCAAAACCACAATTACTTTTGTACCAACCTTTAAACACGTAAGTATGGTTTTGTTCCAACACAATTTTATTTATAAAAACAGTCAGCTGGACAGATTTGGCCTGGGGGCCATGTATGCCCACCCCTGGCCTAGTCAAGTAAAATGCAACAGCAGTGACAAGTGACAGAGTGACTTTTGAGCAGAGGCTAAAAAAGGCAATACAGCTTCCATCTCCTCTCTCTCTCTCTCTCTCTCTCTCTGGTAACCTGGTAACACACTCTGGGAGCCCTGAGGCAACATATAAAAAGTTTAGCTAGCCTGAAGCTGCCTGACTGGTGAGACCAAATGAAAGACCACACAGAGACAGAAGGAGCCCTAGCTATATGCCTGGTCCAGGAGACAGGCCTGTGAGTGGGTGAGCTTTCAGATGATTTCAGTCCTCAGACTTCAAACCTTCCAAACTAACACCAAGTAGAATACAGGCGCAGCCAACCAAAAGCTACCTACATTGCAGATATGTAGGCTAAGTAATGATTTTGTTGCTTTAAATCAAGGGTCAGCAAACAACAGCCCTGCTATGGGTTTAAATATATGTGTGCCTCCAAAATTCATATGCTGGAACATCACTTCAGGGTGACGGTATTAAAAGGTGGGGACTTTTGGGAAGTGATTAAGTCATGCAGGCTCTGCCCTCATGAAAGGATTCGTCCTTCTTATAAAAGGTTGAAGGGAGCAGCACCCTAGTGCTTTCTGCCATGTGAGGATACAACATTTGTCCTCTCTGGAGTACACAATAACAAAGTACCATCTTAGAAGCAGAGACTAGGCCATCATTAGACCCTAAACCTACAGACACCTTGATCTTGTACTTTCAACCTCTAGAACTGTGAGAAATAAATTCTTATTCCTTGTAAGTTACTCAGTCTGAAGTATTTTATTTTAGCAGGAGGAATGGAGTAAGAAAAACCCTTAGGTCAAATACAATCTGCCACCTGATCTGTAAATAGTTTCACTGGGATTCAGTCACAACCATCCACTTATGCACTGTCTATGGATGCCTTCACACTACAACAGCAGAGCTGGGTGACTGTGGCAGAAACTGTATGCCCACAATACCTCAACTACTTATTATTTGGTTCTTCATGAAAAAAATTGCCAAGCCCTATTTTAAGCCATTAACTGGTAGGCGGATGGATTGTCATGCAGCGATAGATAATCAAAATACTTCCTTACTTCCCTTAAGTCTCTACATAAATACTACCTTAGAGAGGTCTTCCTTTACCTTTCCATAAAAAATAGTGTTCTCTTCATCTTTTGCATGCCATAAAATGTTACTCCTCTAAAAAGTATTTATTGTGGAGAAGCAATTAAAGTCTTGCACCACTGTAAACATATGTACATTATATAAACATACACATTACTAGTATTGTATAATTCTGTTTGATCTCTACATTGCCAGCTACTCAAGGGCTAGTACTTCATTTCAATAACTTTAAACATTCAAGGGAACTGCAATGGAATAATATACCATTTGGGGCCATAACAGGTGGTGACTGATAACATGGGTAAAAAGAAAAAACTGTGAAGCTCAGCATTAGTGCACCAGTGAAAATGTCTTCATATTTCATATCATTGAATATGAGATGTGGAAAGGACTAAGGCAGATTTACTCAATTCTTTTACATATTAAATTACTATGTATATTTGGATAGAATGAGATATAGACTTAGGTAAAACCTATGAATACCTGGATTTGGTAGGGGGTAAAAGCCACTTATTCCTAGTCTTAGGAATAACTGTATAAGGAAAGGCTATGGCAGAATCTTTTAATAATTCTACGTTCACATTAAGGCTGATTTCATCATAACAAGTTAATGAGTTGCTCTGCTGATAGCATGAATAAAAACTCATTTGGCTGGGTGTAGTGGCTCACACCCATAATCCCAGTACTTCGGGAGGCTGAGACGGGTGGATTGCCTGAGCTCAGGAGTTCAAGACCACCAGCCTGGGCAACATGACGAAACCCTGCCTCTACTAAAAATACAAAAAATTAGCCGGGCGTGGTGGGACACACCTGTAGCCCCAGCTACCTGGAAGGCTGAGGCACGAGAATCGCATGAATCCGGGAGGCAGAGGTTGCAGTGAGCCAAGACTGCACCACTGCACTCCAGCCTAGAAGACAGAGTGAGACTGTCTCAAAAAAACAAACAAACAAAAACAACAAAAAACCCTAAAAACCCAAAAACTTCATTTGACACATTTATTGTAGTCAATAAAGATTGTAGAAGGGATAATTTGAATTATTCTTGCTCCAGGCTAAACTCAAACTTGTTTAGCACAGTGCATGGCATATAACAATTGGTTGAATGAAT
This sequence comes from Homo sapiens, assembly GCF_000001405.40. Taxonomy (NCBI): domain Eukaryota; kingdom Metazoa; phylum Chordata; class Mammalia; order Primates; family Hominidae; genus Homo; species Homo sapiens. The sequence continues at coordinate 31,487,875 of NC_000012.12, forward strand.
AAATGAATGAACAAGAAAACAAACAAAAACAGCTGGGGGTAAAGCACCAGGCTTAGTTCACCTCTTGATCTGGTCTGTAATTCTTTTTTTGTCTTTTTGGAGACGGAATCTCACTCTGTCGCCCAGTCTGGTATGCAGTGGTGTGATGTCAGCTTACTGCAACCTCCACCTCCTGAGTTCAAGCAATTCTCCTGCCTCAGCCTCCCAAGTAGCTGGGATTACAAGTGTGTGCGATTATAGGCGTGCATACCCGGCTATTTTTTTTTTTTTTTTGTACTTTTAGTAGAGACGAGGTTTCACCATGTTGGCCAGGCTGGTCTTGAACTTCTGGTCTCAAGTGATCCACTCGCCTCAGCTTCCCAAAGTGCTGGGATTACAGTGTGAGCCACAGTGCCTGGACTTCAGCTTGTAATTCTTTTTCCATCAAGTAGGCAATACAGAAACATAGTGACCACCAAAGTCAACATAAAGATTTAATTTAATTGATAGGCGTTCCTGTCATCCTAAATCACAAAATCATAGCTCAACTGCTGTTGAACAGCTGCCAAATATTCCCTTAAGGGTTTGTAGCTTTCTTGAGCGCACATTCAAACATTTACAGAAAAAGCTTGCCAAAAGTTGTACTCAAAGTGAAGAATGGCTTTCTATGCTACAGACAACAGATGTAAGAATTTTTCCTAAATGCTCTTCCAACAAATCAAAAAAAGTAAGAACTATATATCTAATCGGGAAACATGAACTGCAAAATGCTATTATTTTTCCATTTTTAAAAGATATACAGTACTGTTTTATATCAGGAACTACAAGATACTTTCTCAGAAAACCTGAGTTTCATCAGAATTGTTAAACTGTCAGGAACTACAAGAAATCTCAGAAAACCTGAAATATAAATCAAGATTTGTTTATCACGGTATTAAACATTTCTAATTAACCCTTAACTTTGCTATCTACTAACAATACCCCCTCACCATCCCACAATAAAACAACTAAAAATTAGAGGTGTCACTGATGATCAGACTACTACTAGTAACCAGATTACTTTAGCCAAAGCAGGCTTATAATGACAAGTGTGTAACTTTCCCAGTTTGAGTCAGCAAATGTTCTTATATTTCTCTAGACCGTTTCAGGCAGTTTGGCTAGAATTTTAAAATTCCTTTTTCCACATCTTGTAGTTCTATGACTTCCATGGCCTCTCCCTCATTATGCAAATACAATCATATACTGTATAACCACACTCTGGTCAACAATGGACTGCCTATAGGACAACGGCTGGAGCAATACGTTATACCATATAACTTAGAAGTATAGTAGGCTATATCACCTAGGTCTGTGTATGTGTATATACACTCTATGATGTTTGCACAATAAAATCACCTAACAACACATTTCTCAGAATGTCTCCCTCCCTCCCTCCCCTCTTCTCTCCCTCCTTCCATAAACACTTATTTTGTCCCATGTTTTGCATTAGATCTTGGTAACTCAAAAGACAAAGATAAAAATAATCCTTTCCTTTAGGGAGTTCACAGTCTAGTAGGAAAGACAGACACAGAAACCAGCAGTTACCAAAAAAATGTGATCAGTGTTGCTACGGACTCTGTTCGAGATATCATAAGAAAAGACAGAGTAACTACTCCTGCTTAAGAGATGGTTTTGCAGTGGAGGTCACACCTAGTCAAGGACAGGGAAGAGAAGTATTGTAAGCAAGTATCACTTCATTTATTCAACAATTTGAACATCTACTATGCGCAAAGCTAGGGATATAACAATGAATAAGAGACACTGCTCCTGTTCTCATGGTGCTTACATTAAGCACGAGATACACAGTTGACTACTAGCTAAGTAATTGGTTAACTGCAACTGAGATAGGTGCTACAAAAAGGTATACAAGGTACTAAGAGAACCTAAGGTGACCTGAGTGCTGGGAAGACGGTGGAAGGTGATGGTCAGGAGCAGCTTCTCTATATAAATGTTTACAGTGAAGTCTGAAGGAATAGTAAGAATTCACTAGGTGAAGGAGAGGTGGAAGAGCCTTCCAGAGAGAAGGAACAGCAGAAGCAGAAGCTATAGTATGAGGAATGAAATGGACAGGTTACTGCAGGAGTCCAGGTAAGAGATCTTGATGGTTTGGACCAAGGTGAGTATACGGAACAGAGAGAAGTAGACAGATAACTGATTATATATGGGAGAGGGTGAGTAAGTGAGAACTTTCAGGGTGATGTGTACATTGTTGGACTTGGCAAGTAGGTGGATGGTTGTACCATTCACTGACAAAAGACTGGTGGGACGAATAATGAATTCAGTTTTGGATATGTTGCATTTGAGATGCCAGTGAAATATTCTAGCTGCAATGTTAAGGAAACGGGCGAGAGGATGGGGGTGGCGGGGGCAAAAGGGTCTTCCAGCAATGGTCCTCCAGCAATGAAAGCCCCATTCCTATAATTTTACTGTGAGATATGGCTAGGCATCGTGGATCACACCTGTAATCCTAGCACTCTGAGAGGCCGAGGTGGGCAGATTGCTTGAGTCCAGGAGTTCGAGAGTAGCCTAAGCAACATAGCCAAACCCCGTCTCCTCAAAAAGTACAAAAATTAGCCAGGCGTGGTGGTGCACACCTGTAGTCTCAGCTACTTGGGGGGCTGAGGTGGAGGATCGCTAGAGCATGGGAGGTCAAGGCTGCAGTGAGCCAAGATTGCACCAGTGCACTCCAGTCTGGATGACAGAGTCAGAACCTGTCTCAAGAAAAAAAAAAAATTTTATTGTGAGCTTGAACCTAAACTTGGCTCAAAATGAGGGCTTATCTTCATTCTAATGTCAAACCTATGAATGTAATTTGGGATTATCCATTTCAAATTCAAGTAATTGCTAAGTCTACAAAAAGTATATATAGCCCTTTTTCCTTTTACTCTTACAAGATAAGCATCTGAATAGGTTTCTTCAGCCAACCTTTCACCGTTTACTCTTTGCTCTTCATTCCACTATATCCTTCTTTGTAATCAAAGTTAACAGCAAATTATAAAGTAAGAGCTTTATAATAGTTATTACTCTTTTGTTACCTAAAATATATTTATGATGTTTCATTAGGACAGACATAAAAAATAGAATCCTTATATTTTCATACAGTTTGCTTAAAAGTTATTGACCATGTTTTCTTCCTATGAATTCTTAGGTACAACACAGGCTTAAAGATAAGATCTATCAACTAGAATATTACATAGTCATGGATGCCAATAAGCAGATTACCTCAAAGAGATGTGAAAGTGGGGTGGGGGACCTTCAGCTCTGTTTGCAATGCTTTATTTCATTTAAAATGAAATGCAGACCAGGCACAGTGGCTCACAGAGGTCGAGGCGGGCAGATCACTTGAGGCCAGGAGTTTGAGACCAGCCTGGCCAACATAGGGAGACCCCGTCTCTACCATAAATACAAAAATTAGCCAGGCGTGATGGTGCGCGACTATAATCCCAGCTACTCAAGAGGCTGAAGCATGAGAATCACTTGAACACCGGAGGCAGAGGTTGTAAGTAAGCCAAGATTGCACCACTGAACTGCCAGGGTGACAGAGTGAGACTGTCTCAAATAAATTAATTAATTTAATTAAATGTACTGCACTCCAATCTGGGAGACAGAGTGAGACTGTGGAAACAAGGGAAAGAAAGAAAAGAAAGCAAAGAAAGGGAGGAAGGGAAAGGGAAAGGAAAGGAAATGTAGAGCTCTGAAGCAAACATGTCAATGTTGACATATGTTAGTTCTAGGTGATTAATACATACATTGACTGTTTATTGTATTGTTCTTTCTGTTCTGTGATATTTACTTTTTTTCATAAAAATCTCTGATCAGCAACTGAGGAAAAAAAACTAATTCAGGAATTATTTCACCTGTCACTTGTATTTATTTTCTATTTTATTTGCACTGTACTCATACACATTAAACATTTTATTTAACAAAGTTCACTGCTTTGGGTACTTAATTTATGTATGAAATTAATGACCTTTTATTCAAAGCACTACTGTTGTTAGAGGAATGACTAATATTACAGAAGGTGATGACTCACTGCGGTGGAATTTTGCTAAAGGCAAGACAAAGCTTTATATCTTTAGGTGGGAATAAATTACAGCTTCATACAAACGCACTTACTAGTAAATCAAAGAGGAAATTAAAGGCAGTAAATCTGTGACCCGAATGCAAACTACTTTAATGGGATGCTTTTCAGAGATTTTCCAGGAGTACAAGCAAATCCTTTTAGATTTGCAGCAATAAAAAAAATGCTATGTGGTGCTTAACCATCAAAACACAGCCTTTGCGATTATTCTTCAGGGGGAAACTTTTGCTGCTTACATAAAATAACCTCAGGGGCAAGGAGTAAAGAAAATATCAAAGATCAAGGAAGCTGATAATTACTTTAAAGATTAATGTTTTGCAGATAGAGGCAAAAGCTATCATGGATATCTCACTATTAATTCATTCAAATGATTAAAAGAAAGAAAACACATGAAGGGTGGCATTTTGTTCCAAATGACTGTGGATTCATATAGTAAGAACGTACTTGTACCCAGGCCCCAGTGATCCTCCCACCTCAGCCTCCAGAGTAGCTGGGACCACAGGCATGGTGCCACCACACCCAGCTATTTCTTTTTTAATTTGTAGAGACAGGGCCTCCCTATGTTGCTTAGGCTAGAACCTCACTTTGAATACCATTCTGATTTCTCACAGAATAAGTTATATTTTGAAATATCTTACTAATTTAAGAAGATTAAGTATTGTGATCTATTCATATTCTTATCCAGTTTTCCACTGCTTGATTTAAACACTCTTTTCCTAAATGCCTTTCTATTAATTTGCTGCATAAGCAGCTCATAAGTTATTTTTTTGTCACTGCTGTTCAACTATTTTAGTCAGATGCTTGTCTGGACTCTTCCAAGTCTTATAAAGATAACTAACAGTTGTGTTCTACATAATATCTATAGTAGAGTCTTCACCAAAGATGACGCTAGGCATCTACAATATTAACTTCCAGCAAAATGGCATCTCTGATTATTTTAGTATTGTATAACAGTTTAGGAAAATAACCACATTGTACTCTGTAAGGAATCAAAGTCAAAGTGCCAAGTGCTTTAGGCATTTGTCCTTACAAATAGCACCATGCTATCCCCTCCCTAGAGCGAGCCCAGGCTGGAAAGAGTTTACTGTGATACAAAAATATCACAAAGGGTCCAGTGTGACCCATAACATTTCCAGTGTAGATCAAAACTCAGTTACACAGTTTTTCTTTTGGGAAGGCAGCAAGGCAGTTGAGAAAAAAAGTGAGCTAGAGAGTAAAAATGATCTGGATTTAATTTCTGAGTCTTACTGCCTAACTTTGGGCAAATTACTTAACCTTTGAAAATATAAGAATTCTCACTGGGTACATGTAAACATGTATGTGAAAATAACATACATAAAGTACTCTAGCAGGCATCTAGTGAATATTAATTTCCTTCTGTTAGATTATCAGGTTATAATGGAGTCTTTTAACAATATCTTTAAAATACTAAAAAAGAGGCCGGGTGCAGTGGCTAACGCCTGTAATCCCAGCACTTTGGGAGGCTGAGGCGGGTGGATCACTAGAGGTCAGGAGTACAAGACCAGCCTGGCCAACATAGCAAAACCCCATCTCTACTAAAAATGCAAAAATGAGCCAGGTGTGGTGGGATGTGCTCATAATACCAGCATTCTGGGAGGCTGAAGGAGGGCAGATCACTTGAGGTCAGGAGTTCAACACCAGCCTGGCCAATATGGTGAAACCCTGTCTCTACTAAAAATACAAAAGATTAGCTGGGCATAGTGGTGTGCGCCTGTAATCTCAGCTACTCGGGAGGCTGAGGCAGGAGGATTGCCTGAACCCAGGAGGTGGAGGTTGCAGTGAGCCAAGATTGTGCCACTGCACTCCAGCCTGGGTGACAGAGCGAGACTATCTCAAAAACAAAAACAAAAACCAAACAAAACAACTCAAAAATAGCAATGGCTATCACTGTGTCTCAGTTCACCTTTAATCATTTCTGTATCTTTTTTATTTTTTTCCCATTCTTACGTATATACCCAATTCATTTCTATATCTATCATGCCTGCTACCTCCTTACTTTGGGGCCCCCTGAATTATATAATCATAGAGTTTATGAACATCTCAAATATTATTCAGGCTTCTAAGAAGAGCCCTTCCTAAATAATCTGAAAACTATGACCTACTTTATTTCTAAGACCCTCTCAAGGTTGACTATCTCTCTATCTTCTATCTATCTATCTATCTATCTATCTATCTATCTATCTATCTATCCATCCATCCATCCATCCACCTACCTACCTACCTACCTCTACCTACCTACCTACCTACCTACCTACCTACCTATTTTGAGACAGGGTCTTGCTATGGTGCCCATTCTGGTCTCAAACTCCTGGGCTCAAGCAGTCACACTGCCTCAACCTCCTGAGTAGCTGGGCTTATAGATGCACAACATCATGCAGGGATAAAAGAGACATTTAATCAGCACTGGTAACTCATTATGAGGCAGGAGAACAGGGTCTGGAGGCAGGGAACCTAAGGCCGATTCATGCTGACTTTCTAGAACTAAATCAAAAGGAAAACCCCAACTTTCCATGCCCAAGTAGCAAAAGGACCAGTGGCTACTCCCTTTGTACCTTCCCCCTACCCTTTTTCTGCATGACAGACTAAAAACTGAAAGTACCTCTGATTGTTTCCTTCCCACAACCAATCAGGATGGTCGTGGGCCAAGTCTTCATTTGCATAGGAGTGTAACTTTGTAACTTCACTTCAGCCTCTGATTGGTTGTATGTTTGTGTAGGGTGTAACTTTGCTTCAGCTTCTGATTGATATCCTCCCACAACCAAACAGACTGATCGTGGGCCATTACTTCATTTACATAGAGTGTACACTAAGTAACCAATGGAAAACCTCTAGAGGGTATTTAAACCTCAGAAAATTCTATAATGGGCTCTTGAGCTGCTTGCTCGGGCCTGCTCCCACCCTGTGGATTGTACCTTCATTTTTAATAAATCTCTGCTTTTGTCGCTTCATTCTTTCCTTGCTTTGTTTGTATGTTTTGTCCAATTTTTTGTTCCAGACACCAAGAAGCTGGACTCCATCCACCGGTAACAATAATACAAATTCAGATTTCTACTGTACCTAAATAACGCAATTAAGTTGCTTTTCATCTTTACACTGTCTGTAAAAATGACAAATTATAGGCCTACCATACAATATTCCTTGAAACATGAGAACTGTAATCAGGCTCTTTCCATCAGGCTCCTCTCAGGCCAATAAAGTAATATCACTGTTTATCAAAGCTTCTACATATTAATACAAATGCACAACACAGTTTAATAGTAGGAAACTAAAATGGGCTTTTAGGATCTATTGTATAAACTTATTAACTATGGAAACCCTGGGCAAGTAACTTGCTTCTCTGAGCTTCTGCTTCCAGATCTTTAAAATGAGGAGAGTATCACATTTCTTTTTTTTTCTTTTTTTGAGACAGAGTCTCGCTCTGTTGCCCAGGCTGGAGTGCAGTGGCGTGATCACGGCTCACCACAACCTCCGCCTCCTGGGTTCAAGTGATTCTCCTGCCTCAGCCTCCCGAGTAGCTGGGATTACAGGCATGTGCCACCACACCTGGCCAATTTTTGTATTTTTAGTAGAGACGGGGTTTCACTATGTTGGTCAGGCTGGTCTTAAACTGACCTCAGGTGATCCACCTGCCTCGGCCTCCCAAAGTGCTGGGATTACAGGTGTGAGCCACCACACCCGGCCTCACATTTCTTATAAAATCACTTAAAGAATAAATGAAATGAAATAAGGTAGACATTCAAAATACAGTCACTACCTTCATATTAATAAAGTGAAAACAAGGCTAAAGAGTAAATGAGGGGAAAAAAAACACATACCATGTTCACCGCATCTTGATCAAAAGGGTTCCATTCTATATTCTGAGGATAGTGGGCGAGAACTTTGGATTTGAATGTTCTTCTCAAAGGACTCTGGTCAAAATTTTCGCCTACAACAAATAATACATAGTTAATATCTAGAACTTTTCCAAAAGCATGTCATAGTTTTCTATTTATTTTATAGTCCTACTACTGACTGATAATGTTGAGATCTGATTCAATTTCTGCCTCTAACCATCTGTATTGTAAAATCCCGATGGACAACTAAAAAACTGTTAACAACAGAGCAGCATTTAAAACTTCAGAATCTGAATTTTAAAATCCTGGCTACTCAACTGATACTAAAAATCAAAATATGGTAATATAATCATTGCTGTAACCTAATTATGGTCCACATTTCAGTGTGTGGTAATAATAAACTATATGAAAACATTTACTTCAGAAAAGAAAAGTCTTACATTAAGCTAATCATATGTCTTATGATCCTAAAATTTTATACACACTTAGACCCCCATGCTACAGTGCTCAAAGGAAGCAATTTTGCTTGAGTTTCCACAAAAATCTCTGAGAAATGTGATTGCATATCCAGGTTCTCCAGTAACAAAATTAACAGAATTAGAAACATCATTGCTGAGTCATCCTGTTTAGTAGACAGAACACATTAAACATACTAACCTTTTAAAATAAATGAGCTATCCTAAGTTAAATTCATTATCTGGCAAAATTCTGGAAACATAAAAGTAGGCTACATTTTAATTACTAAGAAAATTCAGGCCAGGCACAGTAGCTCATGCCTGTAATCCCAGAACTTTGGGAGGCTGAGGTAGGAGGATTGCTTGAGCCCAGGAATTTGAAACCAGCCTGGGCAACATGGTGAGACCCCGTTTCTTTTCTTCCTATTTTTTTTTTAATAAATTTTTTAAAAAGTAAAACATTGAAAATTCAATAATAGCTATCAGATTAGTTTTTTTAACCTCCTCAACCAGAGTAATTCCCTTAAGACCTATTATCCCTAAATGTTTTAGTTTCATGAAATATTTTAAGGTAGACGGATCTTAAATTCCCAATGTCAAAAATTTGGGATCAAGGAACTAGAAGATCTTGCAACAATTTTATTGTGTTGTGTGTTTTCCTACTTTTAGAGTTCTAATTAAGTGCAAAATACTAGCTGTTACAGCAAAAGATAAATGTCACTTTACCAGTATTTATACTATTAAAAATATCACAAAGCAATTTGATTTATGAATTGTATTTGACTTCTAGTTAGACTCAGTTTCTATTTTGGGTAAAAATATGAAAAAAAAAAACCACCTTGGAATGCAAAACAGATCGCAGAAGGACGAAAAAGTCACACTCAAAAATCTTGCTGGAGACAACAATATAAAATACATAGGAATTTTTTTGAACAAGGACACATAATTTAAATACATTTGCTTAGGCAACTAAACTACTATTTCTAACTGAAGTCCTTGGCTAATGATCATTATTTTCTTTAGATTCCTCTGACTTATTTAGGCAAACATTTCATCTCTGTATTTTTCTACTCCATACTTCCATCTTCTAAGAGTTGAGAGCATTCATTTCTAGAAGAGAAATTGTCAGACATCCTTAAGGAGAGTTTATCAATTTTTGCACCAAGCTTCTAGAGTATGTAAGCATCAAAAAGTCAGCAGAGGAATGTGAAACTGTCCATGAGAGTCAATGTGGCTGAAGAACAGATTCAGGGCTCAGAACTGATTTCAGGAAGAGTCCATGATGTTTTTAAGCTGATGCTAGATTTTCCTGTGAACACTAAGAAATTGTAAATTATTCACTTCTTCATTTAAAAAAAAGTTACTTGGCCAGAATGTGGTGGCTCATGCCTGTAATCCCAGCACTTTGGGAGGCTGAGGTGGGCAGATCACTTGAGACCAGCAACATAGTGAAACCTCATCTCGAAAGAAAGGAAAGTAAGGGGGAGCGGCATGGGGAGGGTGGAGGGGGAGGGGCATGGGGAGGGGCAGCGGAGGGGGCAGGGAGGGGCAAGGGGAGGGGGCAGGGGGGGCAAGGGGAGGGGGAGGGGCAGTGGAGGGGGCAGGGAGGGGCAAGGGGAGGGGTAGGGGCAGGGGCAGGGGCAAGGGCAGGGGGAGGGGGCGGGGAGGAGAGGGGAGGGGAGGGAAGGGAAAGAAAGAGAGGAAAGAAAGGAAAAGAAAAGAAAGATAGATTGATTTTTTAGGTTACTTTTCATTTCACTTTAGAGAAAAAACAAAATTCCTCCCAGTTATAGTCTAAGCTGCTGATAGTGTACTGACACAGCAACAGCGTAACTTCATGATAGCCATCAAGAAACCCTCTCCTTCACCTACCCTCTAACACCAGAAATACTTGCTTTTATTATCCACAAATGTAAATAAAATATGAAACACTGCAGAAGCAGAAGAAACAAGACATAACCTATCATAAAACTCCTTGCAACACTTACCTTTTAATTCAGTCCTGCCTGTGTATAGTTAAAATAACATTATCTTCATTCATGTATCAAGTTATTAATGGGACAGGAGATATATCAGAAAGGTCATGAAAGTGCCATTCTCAATATAATTGTTCTGTTAACTAAGGAACATTGCACCTTCTTGACACACAAAGAATCAACAAGAAGGAAACCACCTCCAGAAAGAAATAATTTTACAAAAACAAAAAAAGCCACAAAACAGTAACAAATCTAACAAAAGAAAAGCAAAACCACCACCACCACTGCTTATTAGACTGCTTAAAAAAGGGGTAACAGGAAAGATCATTGCTATATATACACAGCTGTCTTGGCAAATATGATTTGGAAGGATATTAGGGGAAGAACTAACTATGTAGAAATTCTGATATCACTGTTAAGAATTCAGAAATGGGCCGGGCACTGTGGCTCATGCCTGTAATCCTAGCACTTTGGGAGGCTGAGGCAGGTGGATCACTTGAGGTCAGGAGTTCGAGACCAGCCTGGCGAACGTGCTGAAATCCTGTCTCTACTAAAAATACAAAACTTAGCCAAGCATGGTGGCATGCACGTGTAATCCCAGCTACTCAGGAGACTGAGGCAGGAGAATCAGTTGAACCCGGGAGGTGGGGGTTGCAGTGAGCCAAGATCACACCACCGCACTCTAGCCTGGGTGACAGAGTAAGGCTCCGTCTCAAAAAAAAAAAAAAAAAAGAGAATTTAGAAATGACTGGATGCAGCTATTCCTACTAGCACTGGCCAAAAGAAGAGAATCTTGGTGATGACTTTTGGGGATGAGAGATGGGGGAACAACCTATACTTCTCATTTTAAACACAAGTTTTACCTCTAACTTAGAATTTACTGCTGGGAAAAAAAAACAGGAAAATAACCAAGTCTAAGAATTTGGATTCCCAGGAAATGAAAAATTACATAAGCATCCTGTACTTAAAATTTACCTTTTAAATATTATCTTGAAACAAACAAGGACTATAAATTTGTACGACTGCTACAACTACATATCAACTTAACTCCAAGTAACACTGCCAAATAACCTCCTACTAAATTGAAGCTGCAATTAATCCTTTCCTCCTAAGAAAGTAGGAAATATCTGCCAAGAGAGCTTAAAGACTACTGAATACATGTTTTCAAGGCTTGAAGCAAATGAAGTCTTTATGAAAATTAAGATGCAGATGAGAGAAGAGAAACATAAAATAACATCTACAAGTCTGACCAAGCAAAACTGAATAAAGAAACATTTATAATGGGCTTGCAGTCAATTAAAATAATGATTTATAATAGCCCATCCTTGTTCTTAATTTTATTTTTACCTGAAGTCGTATTTGCAGCACCTTGGCTCTTGCCATGACGATCTGCTTCTAGCCATTGGTACAAAACTACATAATGTAACAGAAACAAAAAAGCTTTATGAACAAATAAAAACAAACAAAAAGCAAAAATGACTTTGAAGAATGGAAAATGAGAATAATTAACCAAAAGCAATCACACAGGAGACATTAACATTAGAATGTAGCTTAACACCAATGGAATGTAGCTGATAAGGGATTAGTAATGAAAGCAAAGAGAATAGGTAATTTTAACAAAATAAGTGAAATGCTATTAAATATCTCTAACAGGTTTTGTATGGGAAATAGCACACATATTCTCTTCTTAATGCTTACTTAAAGAGGAATATTAGGAGAAAGCTAATGCTTCTATAGTCAGATATCATACAAGTTGAGTATCCCTTATCCAAAATGCTTAGGACCAAGAAGGGTTTTGGATTTCTGACTGTTTCAGATTTTGAAATATTTGCATTATATTTACAGGTTGAGCATCCTTAATTAGAAAATTGGAATACTGGCACTCAAAAAGTTCAAATTTTGGAGCATTTTAGATCTCGGATTTTTGGATTAGGAATGCTCAACCTAAAAAGTATGACAGTAAGACTAAATGACCAACTTTAAAAATTAAAGAGCATCCCTAATTAGAAAATTAGAATACTGGCCTCAAAAAGTTTCAAATTTTGGAGTATTCTGGATCTCAGATTTTTGGATTAGGAATGCTCAACCTAAAAAGTATGACAGTAAGACTAAATGACCAACTTTAAAAAATTACATCCTGGCTGGGCATGTTGGCTCACAACTGTAATCTCAGCACTTCGGGAGGCCGAGGCAGGTGAATTGCTTGAGGTCAGGAGTTCGAGACCAGCCTGATCAACATGGTGAAACCTCATCTCTACTAAAAATACAAAAATTAGCTGGGCATGGTGGTGGGTGCCCATAATCCCAGTTACTCAGGAAGGCCAGGCAGGAGAATTACTGGAACCCAAGAGGTGGAGGTTGTAGTGATCTGAGATCATGCCACTGCACTTCAGCCTGGATGACAAAGTGAGACTGTCACAAAAAAAAAAAAAAAAAAAAAAAAAATTACATCCCAACCACTGCATATTGATTAGAATGGCTTAAGTCCCAAAAGCTGACTATACCAAATATTGACAAGGATAGGAAGTGACAGTAATTCTCATTCACTGCTGATGAGAATGCAAAATTGTACGGCCACTTTGGAAGAGAGTTTGGCAATTCCTTACAAGGTTAAACAGTCTTATCACAGAACCCCATAACTCCAGTCTAATCATAAGAAAAACATCAAATTCCAGGAGGAGTAACCTATAGTATATCTGATAAGTACTCATCAAAACTATCAAGGACAACAAAAACAATGAAAGTCTGAGATTCTGTCATAGCCAAAAGGAGCCTAAGTAGACATGACAACTTATGGGGATGGGATACCTCAACAGAAAAAAGACTGATATGGTTTGGCTATGTCCTCACCCAAATCTCACCTTGAATTGTAGTTCCCATAATCCCCACACACCGTGGGAGGGACCCAGTGAGAAGTAATTGAATTATGGGGTTGGTTACCTCCATGCTGTCCTTGGGATAGTGAGTTCTCACAAAATCTGATGGTTTTATAAGGGGCTTTCCCCCACTTCACTCTGCACTTCTCCTTGCTGCTGCCATATGAAGAAGGATGTGTTTACTTCCCCTTCCGCCACAATTGTAAGTTTCCTGAGGCCTCCCCAGCCCTATGGAACTGTGAGTCAATTCAACCTCTTTCCTTTATAAATTGCCCGGTCTCAAGTCTATCTTTATTAGCAGCATGAAAACAGACGAATACAAGAATATTAAGTAAAAACTAAAGAAATCTAAATAGAGGCCGGGCGCAGTGGCTCATGCCCGTAATCCCAATACTTTGGGAGGCCAAGGAAGGCGGATCACCTGAGGTCAGGAGTTTGAGACCAGCCTGGCCAACATGGCAAAACCCTGTCTCCACTAAAAATACAAAATTAACCAGGCATGGTGGTGCATGCCTGTAGTCCCAGCTACTTGGGAGGCTGAGGCAGAAGAATTGCCTGAACCCGGGAGGTGGAGGCTGCAGTGAGCTGAGAACGCGCCACTGCACTCCAGCCTGGGCAACAAGAGCAAAACTCCATCTCAAAAAAAAAAAAAAGAAAGAAAAAAGAAATCTAAATAGAGTGTAGACTTTAGTTAGCAATAATGTATCAATATTTATTCATTAATTATAACTAATGTACCATACTACGAGAGGTTAATGATAGGGGAAATTGTGTGTGTGGGGTGAGGCAAGTATATGGGAACTCCATTCTCAATTTTTCTGCAAATATAAAAACAACTTTATTTTAGAAATTACATTCCAGTATTTAAGGTAAAAACACCAGCAACATTATATTCAATCTTGCCGGGCGCAGTGGCTCACGCCTGTAATCCTAGCACTTTGGGAGGCGGAGGTGGGCGGATCACGAGGTCAGGAGTTCGAGACCAGCCTGGCCAATATGGTGAAACCCCATCTCTACTAAAAATACAAAAATTAGCCGGGTGTGGTGGCACACACCTGTAGTCCCAGCTACTTGGGAGGCTGAGGCAGAAGAATCCCTCAAACCCGGGAGGTGGAGGTTGCAGTGAGCCAAGATCACGCCACTGCACTCCAGCCTGGGTGACAGAGCAAAGCTGTCTCAAAAACAAAAACAAAAACAAAAAAAACATTATATTCAATCTTATAAGTAATCTACCTTTTATAAATCATGTTTATCAATGCAAACATAAGCTGAAATTTGCTTTATACTGATATCCCATTTCGTCAATAATATTCCTAAGCATAATTATAAAGTGTCAACTCTTGGAGGAAAGTTTACTACTGTAACGACACAGGCTATAACTTAGCAGCTTTGAAGAGTGTAAAAACTTCTGAATGTCTTTTATTGGTTACTCAGATGTCTAAAACTCAGATATCTTTAAAGAGATGTCAGAGTCTTTCTTTTAAATAGTCAATAATGATAATGTAGGGTACCAATGGCCAAGAGAGCTTGCTATCCACACCCCCAACGTTTGATGATCCAAGGACAGCAACAAATATTAAGCTTCTACGCTGGGGGGCTACTTACCCACAGATACTGTGAGAACTGAATATCCCAAACAAGGTTTACAGAAACCTTTCATACTCTCTCCTCAACAAAAACAACAAAGGGCTGAGAAAGCTGCCTACAGAACTGAACTAGAGTAATAAAGGAATCGGTTTATTACAAATATCTAAGAGAACCCTGAAATCATCAAAGTGGTTACTTAGATCTCTGAGGAACAGCCAGGGCTGTGAACTGACATCCATGGTCATGGATAGATAGCTGAAAGACCTCTGAGCAAACATCCAAGTCCTTGGTTAAGGGTGCCACAGAGGGCACAGAAGTCAGCACCCTCCTCCAGAAACACACTTCTGGGAGGGAAACAATTGTTACATATGGGACTAGCATGAAAGAATTCAAGAAGGAGACCTCAATAATTAAATATATACTACAGGTATTTCTCTTCCCTTTAGTTTACAGGGATAACAGCTACTCATGAGAGGAGGAGAGAGGGGAATTACACTATGACACAAAAATCTCCCCGTTAGGAAAAGCAAGCATGAGCTTTACAATTGACAATGAAGGCTGGGTGCAGTGGCTCATGCCTGTAATCCTAGCACTTTGGGAGGTGGAGGTGGGCAGATCGCTTGAGTTCAGGAGCTTGAGACCAGCCTAGGCAACATGGTAAAACCCTGTCTCTACAAAAAATATAAAAATTAGCTGGGCGTGGTGGCAGGTGCTTGTAGTCCCAGCTACTCAGGAGGCTGAGGTGGGAGGATGGCTTGAACCCAGGAGGTGGAGGTTGCAACGAGCTGTGATCCATTCCAGCCTGGGCAACAGGGCCAAACTCTGTGTCTAAACAAACAATTGACACTGAAAATCACTTCCACAAAATGAGATGCAAAGTAGGGAAACAAATCCATTAACTGGTCTAACAATTTTGCCCAGCTCCTATCTTAAGCCTGTATTTTCCCCTGATTAAGGCAGAAACTCTTGGCTATGTTCAGGTTATCACTAGGAATATTTACCAATAGTTCCAATTACTTCACATAGTCCTCGTTTCCGGTTTTATCAGAGAGGTTTATCATGTTTGATTTCATGTCTCACTGATAAAATCATAGTCTGTTTCTGACCAGAGACTTTCTCCAGAAAACAAAGCTAAGTCTCACACTATTTCCCTCTCTTCCTGTCCTGACAGGTAACCCCAGAAGCCTAGTTTTAAACAAAATCATTAATAAAATGAGACATGAAAGCTATTCCAGGTCAATTTAACCAGTTATATAGAGAACTACACATAAGCAAAAATCATTTTAATAGATTTACATATTCAAATATTTCATCCTTGCCTCTAGATTACCAAAGTCCAATTAACTTCAGTTTAAATAATTCAGAGAATTTCCAGTGAAATAAGTACATCTGATTCAAGTGCGCTATAACGTAAATCACCATTTATATAAAGTTTGGACTTTAAAGTCTACTTTATAGGACATATATTTAAACAGATAATGTATAATTTAAAAAGAAGTGTGACTAATTTTTTAACTTAACATACTAGAATGTACATGGGCAGCTCTGGAAATACTGAACTCCTAAAATTTCTCAATCTCCATAAAATACATGAAATATAGCACAAAAGTTCTGCTACTATGAATGTAGATGATGTTAGAATGCCAAGAACACATCTCTCTTCACCAAAGGAATATGAGATCTGGCCTTCTGGTTGCTTCACGCTTCCTCTCAGTTGGCAGTGGAAATAGGGACCCCATCCCCAGCTCAAAGTTACTGGTAGAGATTTCTATAGCATGCTTGTGGGGTTGCAAATGAAGAGGAATATTTGAGATTTATGAACCTTGGGGGCTGTTTTTCAGCCTGATCATCATGGTTAAATATTTCTTCACTCACTCTCCTCCCTAAACCTTCCCACTAGGAGGGCCCCAGTAAGTTACCTCCTGCACTATCCACTTCCATCATAGCCTGTTTGTGACCAGAGACTTTCTCCACAAAACAAAGCTAAGTCTCACACTATTTCCCTCTCTTCCTGCCCTGACAGATAACCCCAGGAGCCTAGAAGTTTTAAAGAAAATCTGCTTCTGGGTGGGGGTCAAACGATTAGTTCTTGCCAATGATATGTGGGCAGCAATGACGTCATTTCCGGGTCAAGGCACACAATCTATCTTTCCTCTGCCATCTATCAGCTAAATGCAAAGGAGGCCTTAAAAGATGGACAGTTCTCAAAGTGGAAGAAAGTTGAGTCACTAAATATCTTTGTGAAGTAGAGTGCCTCCCACCTTGGCCTACATTACACTAAACGTGAATGAGAAAAACTTTTATTGTCTCATGCCACTGAAGTATTATGGGGTTGTTATTACAGCAGTTAGCTATTCATGTGTTTACTAGCCTGAGTTTTTATTTGTGTTCGTTTTGACTTTCTGACTATAATACTAACCCCTGACTATATCGTACCTTCTATTGGTAACTGTCTACATTGCTTGTTACATGTTTAAATACACGAGTACAGTTCTCCAAGTATAAGACAGAATTTGCCTTTTTTTTTTTTTTTTTGAGACAGAGTCTTACTCTGTCACCCAGGCTAGAGTGTGACGTTGAGATCTTGGCTCACTGCAACCTCTGCCTCCTGGGTTCAAGCAATTCTCCTGCCTCAGCCTCCCAAGTAGCTGGGACTACAGGTGTGCTACCATGCCCAGCTAATTTTTGTAGTTTTAGTAGAGACAGGATTTCATTATTTTGGCCAGGCTGGTCTCAAACTCCTGACCTCAGATGATCTGCCCGCTTCAGCCTCCCAAGTGCTGGGATTACAGGCATAAGCCACCATGCCCAGGCCAGAATTTGCCCATTTTTAATGCATGTTCTCCACCTTTCATAGAAAAAGCCATATATCCTACTAAGCTATTTATGAAGACCACAGGTTCTAGCCCATGACAAGCTTGTTATCCTTTCTAAACACACAACCCCCAAATCTAGTCAGCAAACTTGAAGGTCTAGGGTGATGGTCATGAAAGGAATCAAACAAAAGAATCTTGGAGGGGTCTCTGCAAATTCATCGACTCCATTAAGGAATATTCAACAACACAGAAACTTAAATCCAGGTAATATTAAAGTTTATTTTAATTAATTAATTAATTAATTGTTTTTTTGAGACAGAGTCTCACTCTGTTGTTGTCCAGGCTGGAGTTCAGTGGCACGATCATGGCTTACTGCTGCCTGGACCTCCCAGGCTCAAGTGATCCTCTCACCTCAGCCTCCCACATGGCTAAGACTACAGGCATATACTCTCATGCCTGGCTAATTTTTAAAACATTTTTGTAGAGGCAGGGTTTCGCCACACTGCCCATGGTCTTGAACCCCTGGGCTCAAGTGATCTGCCCGCCTCAGCCTCCCAAAGTGCTGGAATTACAGGCATGAGCCACCTTGCCTAGACTTAGTTAAGATTTTAGTAAGAGTACATCAACATCAATCCAGTAAGCTTTGAGTTTTTAAGAGATTCACAATATCTTTCCTCTTGATTACATCAAAATTAAAGAGCCATGTTATATTTACCTAACACTAAATATAGTTTCTCTTTTTAATTTATTATTTATTTATTTTTTTAAAGGCCAGTCAAGTGAAGCAGTGGGAGTGGAGAAGGAACAAAGAAATCTGTAACTGATTGTAATGAATTAGTTATCAACACCACTGCACTCGGACCTGCCTAAATACACTTGCAATTACTAAAATTTATTCACTGAAAACCAAAATTTCACAACACAGTTATTCTGTTTCAATCTCAACTGAGTGTACTGCAATCCGATTCTCTCATCAGCCACCCAAAGTTAGCACAGACCCCACAAGTAAAAGGGTACGCTCCCAAATAGGCGTGCCCTTATTTCAGACACCAGCCACACTTTGGAAGTCCCAGGCTACCTGCACTTCTAACAGACTGGCTATAAATTTGAGAGTTTCCACAAGTCCCTCAGGTACACTAAATTCACTAGAGCTTGCAGGACTCAGGAAAGTGATGTATTTACAATTACAGTTTTCTTACAAAGGACACAAATCAGGATGACCAATCAAATGAAGAGATATATAGGGTAAGATCAAGGAGAGAATGCAGAGTTTCCATGCCTTCTTCTTGTGGAAAAAGGGCATGTCACCTACTTTCCCCTGCGCATACATCAGTGTTTTCACCAACCAGGAAGTTCCACTAAATCTCAGTGTCCAGAGTTTTTACTGGCTTTACTACATATGCACAACTGATTAAATCATTGGCTACAAGACTAAGCTGAATCTCCAACTCCTTTCCCTCTCCAGAGGCCAGGTTGGTTCAGAGTCCCAACCACATAGTTGGTCCTTCCAGAGACAGCGCCTATCCTGAAGCTATCCAGAGGCCCATCATTAGTTACCTGATTAGCATAACATTCCCGTCGTCACTCAGGAAATTCCAAGGGTTTGAGAAGTTCAGGAAACACAGACAAAGACCAGACAAATTCCTTTTTTTTTTTTAGAGACAGGCTGCAGAGCAGTAGTGCGATCATAGCTCAGCAGCCTCAAACTCCCGCCTCAGCCTTCCTTGTAGCTAGGACTACAGGTGCACGCCACCATGCCCAGATGAGTTTTTATTTCTATTTTTCATGGAAACAAAAAAATAAAAATGTTTCTTGGCCTCAAACTCTTGGCCTCAAGTGATCCTGCCTGGGCCTCCCAAAGCACTGGCATTAAAATCATTTGCCACTGCACCTGGCCAAATTATTATACGACAGTTTTAGGTGCTGTGCAGCTTACCACCAATCAAAGAACACAACAGCAGATTATTTACTTGCAAAAATAACCTTAGCAATGAATTCAAGATCTAGAGTTCTCTGATAATAAGGAATAAACAAAGTTTTTGATCCTAGCCCATGTTTGTCATACTAATAATAAAATTTGAAGTGAGAAAAAAAAATTTTTTAAGTAATTTAAGTATTGTAACTGCTATTATGAAACTCTAAGAGGAAAGAGTCCATAATTTTTAGATTAATAAATGTCATGCGCTTGCCAGTGCTTAGTAAATAATTTTTATTATTCTGAAGAACATCTAAGTGATTTTCAAATAATAAATACAGCCACGAAAACAAGGTTCTGGTTCTGGCTGAATATGCTGGTCTAGTAGCCTAGTGCAAATCACAATGTCTTTGAGCAAGAGTTTTCTCTTATAGAAAACACATTATTTTATTACTAAATTAGAAACACATTATTAATTATTCTTAAGTATTTACCTTCTATGGAAATTATTTATCCAATGTATTTCTGGGAAAGCATATTGTTATCCATGTCACATTTTATTATTCAATATAAAACAAATCTTTCCCCATTACTAAAGAACATATTCTTTGCTAAAGAGACACCAAGAGAGCCACGCTTTGCCTTCCAGAACAAAAGAAAGTAACTCAACATTAAAAAACTTAGGGCTGACAAGTAACACTATGGAGCAACACTGCTAAGCTGATTCAAACAAACTTTCCTGCTGCATGACTCAAAGAAGCAGTCATTTGGTCAGAGGTAAAGTAGACCTTTCCCTCCATTTCCATTAACTACTTTTGCTGCCAATACATACTATCACCAAAAAAATTTTTATAAGAAGTCAAAAACACAAGGAACTCAGTTAAGCTTACACAAAAATACCACTTTCTTCCTCCTACATTAGAAATCAACAAAGTTCTCTAAAAGAAAGATATAAATTACAAGGTAGAGAAGGGGGTACATTTGTTCTACTAATGTAAAATATCACATTAGTCAATGCAGTCTATTAGTAAATAGACTATCCTGTTTCATGGTCTATGAAATTATCCTAACATGAGCAAACTGGGCTAAATATGTTAGAAACGAGACTCACTGGGAAAGAGAATCTTCCTGTAAGAATCAAACAGAAGTCTCATTATTCTAACAATTAAATGAAGTTGTTGGAAGCTTAAAATGGTTCAGTTGATGTGATTTGTGCTAAACAAAAGCAGTTATCTGAGTCTCTCTGCGTTAGTGTGTGGCCTTTCATCTAAAGGCCTTCAAGGCCCTCCCCTACTATGTTTGGTGTTAGAAGACCCAGATTTTAAAATAGTATTAAGGTTCTGCACAGACTGAAAATCACACATCACATATATCAGGAGGAGAACAATGACCTATAAGATGACTAAGACCCTCCCAGTTCTATCAGAGACTGTGATTCTCAAAGCTACTACCTAACGTACTTTTTTGAAATAGAAAAAAGTCAAGTCACCTTTGGGGGAGGGGCGAGGTGGAGCCATTTTAACCACTTTTTGAAGTCTGCAAAATTAACATAAAACAAAGCAACCAAAACCAAAAAAAGTGAGGTGAAGGGAGCAGAATTTTCCCCTTCTCCATGGGAAAAACAAAGTCTTCCTTCCTCCCTCCATCAGAAAAACATAAAAAGAAAATCCTCAAGATGATCCCCAGCCCTGAGTTTCAATTCATGACTTTTACTATCCACCAAGAATCTCCACTTGCTGTCTCAGACTCAGCAGCCTCAACATCAACGTTTACACAACCAAGCTCATTTTTCCCCTCAAAGCTTTTCCTCTGTCGACAGTGCCACAATTCATGTAGCCATCTAAGTATTATTATCCACTTATTCATCCCTAAAGAGGAGTTAATTTGGCCAAGTGTGGCAGCTCACGCCTATAATCCCAACACTTTGGGAGGCTGAGGCATTCTAAGGGGAGAGACCCATAGTTTTGTATGCCTACAGGCCTAGCTACTTGGGAGGCTACAGCAGGAGGACTGCTTGAGCCCAGGAGTTAAGAGGTTACAATGAGCTATGATTGTGCCACTGAATTGCAGAGCCAAGACTCTTTCTCAAAATAAATACATAAAAATAATTTTTAAAAAAGTTTGGTTGTTTTAAGTGGCTAAATTTTGAGATAGTTTATTATGCAACAATAAATAACTGGAAAAAATAGTGAACAAAATATCCAAAATAATCCTTGCTCTCACAGTTTACATTCTAAGAGGAGGGAGATAATAAGTATAATAAATTATATAGTATGTTGGAAGATGAAAGGTGCAATGGAAAGTTAAAAAAGAATAAAGTGAGGAAAGCCAGCAGTACACAAGTTGCAGTATTAAGTAGGATGATCAAGTTGGCCCTCATTGAGGTGATGTTTGAGCAAACTTGAAGGAGACAGAGAATTAATCTTACCTCCTTGGGAAAATCAACGTGAACTAAGATACCAGTGTCACAAATTCAGTCCCTGCCAACTAAGTCCAGATTCCTTAGATGGCATTTGAGGACCACCATGATCTAGCTGGACCTACTTTAGTTTCTGAGGCTCCTGCACTTGAGCCACGCCAAATGACGTGCAGTTCCCTTTTAAGTACGATATCTTATGGGTCCTTGCTAGACTTCGTGTGTCTGAAACAACTTTTCCCCTGTAATAATTTTCTATTGCCCCAAGTTATTATGATAAATTTAGCAGCTTAACACACCCACATTTATTATTTCACATTTTCCATGAGCCAGAAGTCTGGCACAGCATGGCTCAGCTGATTCCTTTACTCCAAGTCTGACAATACTGAAACCATCCTGTTGACAGGGCTGCATTCCTTTCTGGAGGCTCTGAAGAAGAATCCACTTTCTTTATTCTTATTCTTTGAGATGGAGTCTCCCTCTGTCACCCAGGCTGGAGTGCAATGGCACAATCTTAGTTCACTGCAACCTTTGCCTCCGGGGTTCAAGCAATTCTCCTGCCTCAGCCTCCCGGGTAGCTAGGACCACAGGCGCCCGCCACCACACCTGGCTAAAGAATCCATTTTCAAGCACACTGCGGTTATTGCTGGAATTCAGTTCCTTATGGTTGTAGAGCTAAGGTCCCCGTTTCCTTGCAAGCTGTCAGCCAGCTGCCCTTAGCACCTAAGATCTCTCTTTGGTCCTTGTATATGGCACCCAACATCTCAAATCAAACCATCTTGCACTTGAAATCTCTCTAATTTCTTCTCTCTTCTGCAGCAGCTGAGATTTTCTGCTTTTAAGGACTCGTGATTATACAGGACACACCTGGATAATTCAAGCAACTCTCCCTATTTTAGGGTCAGCTAATTAGTCACCTTAATTAAATCTGTAAAATTCCTTAACAGCAGAACCTAGACTGCTCTTTAACTGAATACCCAGAAGACAATGTTTGGGAATATTTTAAAAATTCTGCCTACCACACCCCTCCTTCCATGTCTGCCTATTAGGCTCCTACACATCTTTAAGAATTCTACTCAGGGCTGGGTGTGGTGGCTCATGCCTGTAATCCTAACATTTTGGGAGGTCAAGGCGGGGGAAATAACTTGAGCCCAGGAGTTTGAGACCAGCCTGGCCAACACAGTGAGACCCCATCTCTGCAAAAAAATTTTTTTTAAAAAATTAGCCAGGCATGGTGGCATGAGCCTGTAGTCCCAGCTACTCAGGAGGCTGAGGCAGGAGGATCTCTTGAGCCCTGGAGTTCCAGACTGCAATGAGCTGTGACTGCACCACTGTACTCCAGCCTGGGTGTCAGAGGGAGACCCTGTCTCAAAAAAAAACAAAGATTCTATTCAGAAGAGACCTCCTGGGGAAACCTTTCTTGACCTGTCCAGAAGAGAGGAGTTTCTTCCATAACGCTACAAAATCTACAAATTAGAACAGATTTTTATGGTCCAATATTTTAAAAATTCCATAGCTTAATTTTTAAATGAACCACTATCGTACAAACACTGTACTAAACAAATATTAATTGATGTGTTAAAATAAAATTTTTTCTCAACAGTAAGGTTCAAGATAAAGCATTTATCTTCCTTTCTTGGTTATCTTAATAATACGTGAATATGATGTCTTTTTTTTTTTTTTTAACAGAGATAGCACTGTGAAGTTCTTGGAACTTTGTTCTCATAATTGCTATGGCATATTGTTGTCTGCTTACCATATTACATTAACACTGTTAAATTATATCTTCCCCTTTATAAATTAAGCTCTTCAACACATTATTCACCCTTACATCCTCAACACCTACTTAATATTGTGCCTGGCAATAAAAATGTTCGTTGAGTAAATGGATAGATGAATAAAAACTGTACTCTTAGGTCTGAATTATATACTCCAAAATTTTTAAGTCACTTATTTAAAATATTGGTAGCTTTGAAAATGATTCATTTCAAAGCCTTGACTATATATAAACTAAAATATAATTTAAGAAATAAAAACATCCCCTCCACTGCCCTTTTTTTTTTTTTTTTTTTTGTGACGGAGTCTCGCTCTATTGCCTAGGTTGGAGTGCAGTGCTCAGCTCACTGCAACCTCTGCCTCCTGGGTTCAAGCGATTCTCCTACCTCAGCCTCCTGAGTAGCTGGGATTACAGGCACGTGCCACCATGCCTGGCTAATTTTTGTATTTTTAGTAGAGACGGGGTTTCACCATGTTAATCAGGCTGGTCTCGAACTCCTGATCTTGTGATCTGCCCGCCTCGGCCTCCTAAAGTGTTGGGATTACAGGCGTGAGTCACCGCACCAGCCTCCACTGCACTTTTCTTTGACATAGAGTCTTGCTCTGTGACCCGGGTTGGCATGTGGTGGTACAACTACGGTTCACTGTAGCTTGGACCTCATGGGCTTGTCAAGCGACCCTCCCACCTCAGCCTCCAGAGTAGCTGGGACTACACGTACACACCACCACACCCCTGGCTAATTTTTTTTTTTTTTTTTTTAATTTTTAGTAGAGATAAGGTCTTGCTATGTTGCTCAGGCTGGTCTCAAACTCCTGGGCTCAAGGGATCCTCCCACCATGGCCTCTCAAAGTGCTGGGATTAGAGGCATGAGCCACTGCACTCAGCCTATTTTCTTTAGAATATTTTATTCCTTTAATAATTTGTGTTGGTTTGTAAATTAAAATTTGATACCTACCTTATTTCAAACATAGGGATATTATTATTGTACTGTATATCCGTCATGGTGTCACATAATCAAAATTTTATTAACCTTTGCTTTGAATCCTAGATTTCATGGTTATCTTCTTTCTTCAGCTTTGCATTGGTCAAACTCATTTCATTGTTTTAAGAAACTTTTTAAAAAGTAAATTTAATTTTTAGAATGGTTTTAGATTTACAGAAAAA